>NW_016107308.1:0-99845 GCF_000001405.40 Homo sapiens
GAATTCCCCATGAGTCCTGTGACCTCAGCCCACACGGGGACCTACAGGTGCTACGGCTCACTCAGCTCCGACCCCTACCTGCTGTCTCACCCCAGTGGCCCCGTGGAGCTCGTGGTCTCAGGTGAGGGCGCTGACCCTGTCCTCTCTGAGCTCAAAGGCTCAGCTCAGGCCCTGCCCCCAGCAGAGCTCTGGACACTAAGGAAAGAGGGGAGTGAAGGGAGAGGGTCCGCAGGGGAGGGTCCAGCCCATGGGAAGATGGAAATAGACAGGGACCTCCCACCCCTGGCTCCCACCCCTGAAGTCTCAGTAGAGTAAAGTGCAGGGAGGGCTGGGAGGAGACGGGGGGTGAACCTCAAAGGAGTTGAGATTAGACTGAGGGTGGAAGACGGAGGCCCCACCTGCTCCCATCCTGGTGTCTCCACCTCAGAATCAGAGCCTCTGTGTCCCAGTCCCCAACAGACGCCCTCCTGGAGAGAGAAGCATCCAGGCTGCCGGTGCCACCTGCATCCACCCCCGACCCCCCCCCACCCCGCCCCACTTCCTGCTTTCCCCTGCAGCCTCCCCAGCACTCAGCGCACACCTGAGCCTCACAGGGACTTGCACGTGCTCCCGCAGCAGCTCAGGGAATGTGCACCGCTCCTCTTCTGCGCCGTTGACATTTTTTATTTGGGTTTTTAAAATCTCATATTGGCCTTTTTGTCCAAGCTGGTGAAAGTAGATTTGCAGCATCACCTATTTTTATTCTCACCCGGTTTCGTAATAGCCCTGATCTCACGTGCTCCCTGAGGTTTTGTAAACTTCAGGTAGAAATGTGGACTTCCTTCGTTCTGGACATTTGCTATGGAGGGGGTAGGGCTTATCTTTTCAGAAAAAGTCAAATGACTGGTACCACTCCTTGAAACCCTACAGCACTTTCCAGACCTCAGAGGGAGGGAGAGAGAGGCAGAGACAGAGACAGAGAGACAGAGAGAGAGATATTGGGGCCGCTCTTTCCTGGCCGGTTCATCCTGGCCTATTCTCAATCCACCAAGGCCCCGAAGCTCATCTCCCCTCCTCCTCTGCCTCCTCCTCCACCCTGTAGACAAGCGGCCATTCCTTTCTGAAGAACAGGCTGAGACCTTTCTGGGACCTGCTCTTTCTGGAGCCTCTGTTGCTCCCTGTCTGGGTCTCCACACGCCTCCTTCCTGGCCCTTTTTCCTATTGAGGAATCAGCTTCAATGTCACCTCCAAGTGTGACCTTCACTGACGACACAGCTCAGCCCAGTCCTGCCTGCTTCTCATTTATGTCAAGTAATTAACCAACCTACACCATGCGGCTGAATTCCTTCTCTCTCTCTTCCACTCTCTGCATATACGTGTGTGTGTGTGTGTGCGCGTGTGTGGTCACACCAACATCTTACGTGACATTGAAACCTAGTTATCCGTATATCTATACAAATAATATATATTCACACATAAATATAGGTCTCTACCAATATATCTAAAACCATTGCTACGACTAGTAAATTTCCACTGCTGTGTTTCTATATGTTTGCTGTTTGTCTCCAGGTGAACCCACACTTCAAGAAGGCAGAGATAGTTTTTAAGGCCCACTATATATATAAAACAGATATATATTTGTGTTTGTGTTTTTCTGTGTGTGTATCACATTCTACCTGTTGCTGCCTATACGAATAATTAGCTACCTAGAGATTAAATGGACAATGAAACTCCAGGTGAAGTGGCTGAGGGCATGAAGGGGAGGCAGCCCCAGAATTTCACCCCTTTGTGCTTCTGACATTGAGGCTCCCCTGATGACTAACCCTCATCCACGGAGCCTGGGTCCTCAGCTGGTGGATCCGTGAAACTCTCATCTCCGGGGGAGTTGGCTCATGTTCTCCTGTGTCCCAGGCTGCACAGAGAGCACACAGGCCTTAGTGACCTCTGTACTGGGGACCACTTTCCTTGCAGATCCTGAGCTCTCAGGATGCAGGAAAACTCTCTCCCAGATGACTCAGGAGCAATGTTTAAATCCATAGAACACAGGAAAACTGAAATCGTTCAATGAGGAGACTAGAGGGAATCCTGCTAGCGGAGGAAGAGGTTTTTTTTTTTTTTTTTTAGAAATTCTGTAAAAGTCACATCATGAGACATTAAGTAATAAAAAAAAAATTGCAGAGCCCAGGTGAGAGGCTGGGCTCAGGTCTCTTTTTCTCTGTTTTGATTCTCTGGAGCAGCTGATACCCTCAGCCCATCACAAAACAAGTCTGACTCTGAGACTGGTATGTGAGGAGATACTCTCAGTGATGGGGCTGGCACTGAGGGTTGGGTCCTGTGAAGGGGAGGTGGGTGCCCTGGGTGGACAATCTGATCCACCCTGACCTCTGTGACCTCTTTGTCCACCATCCCCAGCCTCACACCTTCAGGATTACGCAGTGGAGAATCTCATCCACATGGGCGTGGCTGGCTTGATCCTGGTGGTCCTCGGGATTCTGTCATTTGAGGCTTGGCACAGCCAGAGAAGCTTCCCAAGATGCAGCCGGGAGGTGAACAGCAGAGAGGATAATGTACTTTATAGAGTCGTGAAGCCTCAGGAACAGATCTGATGATCCCAGGAGGTTCTGGAAGAAAATCTAGGGCCGATGCTATCTGGACTGTCTGCTGGTCATTTCCAGAGGAAGGAATCAATGTCCGAGTGCAGGGACATTTTCTGGGGTGATCCATGGAGAACCATTAAAATGTGATACCTTTCCTCTCCATTAATGTTGACTTTCCTTGGTTGGATCTGCCTCTTTTCCCACACTTAGACATGAGGCTCCATCCCACATGGCAGCGTTGGGTCCACACCTCTGCACACCTGCATGCTCTGGTCCATGGCGTGTCACACAGTCCTCTTCATTTCTCATTGCCACACTTCCTGGTGTACTTTACTGGGTCTTCATGTCTTCAGTTCAGAGTTCCGCACCTGGTTTAGGAACTAATTCAACGGGAGAAGATCAGAGTCCGACCAGGAAAAGATAAATGCACCGTGATGCCCTCACCTCCTGTGTGGACCCTATGAGCTCTTCCCTCCTTATCAGATGCTATCTGTGTAGTTTCTCCTGAAATATCACCACCTGGAATCAACACACTGGCATTTGAAGTCACGACCCAATGGTATGCTAATTCTGAAAAAGACATTTTTTGAAATGCTATGATTAGTGGCATTTACCAATTTCCTTGACGTAAATTCTTTTTTCATGGCCATAATCAAGATGCCAACGAGACATCCCTGAATGCAGGGTTGGGAAGCGTTGGACAGACTTGTCTTCACTCATAAGCACCAGGCATCTGATAGCTCACGTATACATCTTATTACCTTCCATTTTAGAGTGAATAATCATTTCTACTTCAGTATTTTGGCACAGGTAAAAGCAGTCCCATTACTGCGCGTATACCCAAAGGAATATAAATCATTCTATTGCAAAGATACATGCACACATGTGTTCATCGCAGCACTATTCACAATAGCAAAGACATAGAATCAACCCAAATGCCCATCAATGATAGACTGGATAAAGAAAATGTGAGACATATACACCACGGAATACTATGAAGCCATAAAAAGAAACAAGATCATGTCCTTTGCAGGGACATGGATGGAGCTGGAAACCATTATCCTCAGGAAACTAACACAGGAACAGGAAATCAAACGCTGCATGTTCTCACTTACAAGTGGGTGCTGAACAATGAGAATGCGTGAACACAGGGAGGGGAACAACACACACTGGGGCCTGTCGGGGGGGGGGTGGGGTAGGGGTAGGGAGAGCATTAGGAAAAATAGCTAATGTATGCTGGGCTTAATACCTAGGTGATGGGTTGACAGGTGCAGGAAACCACCATGGCGCACATTGACCTATGCAATAAGCCCACACATTCTGCACATGTACCCCGGAACTTAAAATAAAAATAAAAATTAAAATTAAATTATGACACCATGATCCTAGCATATCCAAAAAAGACAAAAATGCCAATATCAAATGTCGGAGAAAATAGGGCTGAATTAAAAATCCAATACAACGCCGGGCGCAGTGGCTCACGCCTGTAATCCCAGCACTTTGGGAGGCCAAGGTGGGTGGATCACTTGAAGTCAGGAGTTTGAGACCAGCCTGGCCAAACGTGGTGAAACCCTGCCTCTACTAAAAATACAAAAATTAGCCGGGTGTGGTGGCACTCGCCTGTAGTCCTAGCTACTAGGGAGGCTGAGGCAGGAGAATCACTTGAACCCGGGAGGCGGAGGTTGCAATGAGCTGAGATCATGCCACTGAACTCCAGCCTGGGTGACAGAGCGAGACTCCGTCTCAAAAAAAAAAACAAAAAAAAAAAACCCTCAAAAGCTCAGGCAGCAAAAGCAAAAATAGGCAAATGAGATCATAGCAAACTGCAAACCTTCTGCACAATCAAGGAAACAAACAGCAGAGTGAAGAGACCACCTACAGAATGGGAAAGAATATTTGCAAGCAAGAGATTAATCTCCAGAAAATACAAGGAGCTCAAACAATGCAGAGGTTTTGAAGGATGGTGATGAGAAGGTTCTGCTACTTACAGAAAGGAAGTTTAGGAGAAACAAAACCACAAACCTAGGTGGTGGGATGGCTTGATCTGCTTCTGTCTGTGACTCACTTAACAGTCTTAAACACATCTCCCTAAGCCTCCTTCCCCCGGTGGGATTCCTGGGTCTTGTGAGGACCTCATCGGTCCCTCTGGTAAACCCAGGCACAGAGTGGAGCAGCTCTTGTTTTCTCAGGATCTTCCCCTTCACATACAATTAACGCACCCACACGATGCTACTCTTAGAACCCTTCAAATAAATGTTTCCCGGTTCATTCACTACCAGAATCCAAGCTCAGCTTGTTCCCCAGCTTAGGACTGAGTGGTATCTTGGAGGTAGTTTCCACCATAGCCCCCTTCCTCTGCTATAAGGCTCAGTGACACACCAGAGACACCCCCTCCAGCCAGGCTCCTGGAAGGTCTGGATGAAGACTGGGATGCTGAGGCATTGCTCAGCAATGTGGCTTAACTCAAACTTCTATGTGAAACTTCCAACCACTTTCAGCAAGGGGTCACTTCCAGCGTCTTGGGGTGTGAGGGCACTTTGGTTGGTCCCTGCAATATCAGACCCTATAAAGATCCTACAAACATGTTGCAGACTCTTTGAAGATTCTGGCACTTTCAGACATGCTGTTGGGAAATGGTGACACCCATAACCTTCTAGTTCCAGGACAGGGAGCCTTAGCCCAGGGCTATGTTTTCTGAGGGTCCTCAAAGTAAACAGTTCTATGTGCCAGGAGAACCCTAAATCTCATATGGTTCTAAGGGCAGAAAGCCACACACGCACCGGCAAAAAGCAAGAGATTCAAGGAAAAGCTGAGCAAAGACAGACAGGAAAACACACACATGATGAGCCAGCTTGTAGAGCTAGAACTGAGATGGAGAGAGGCACGAGTGGGTAACAGAGTGTGCTCCCCAGAACAGGTGGAGAGAATGCCTTTTTCATGCCCTGAGGATAGGCTGGGTAAGGCTTGTGCTCGACAGTCAAGGACTATTTTTTTCCCCAGGCGTCTACAAGAGACCTTCCTTCTCAGCTCAACTGTGCCCTGCAGTAAGTAATGATGGAGAGAATGTGACTTTGCTCTGCAGCTCTGGAAGCTCATTTGACCTGTGCCTTCTAACGAGGAAGGTAAGGCCCCTGGACACTGGCTCACTGGGGTGCAGAGACAGAGTGGGGCATTCAGGCCAACTTCTCTCTGGGTCTTGGGGCTGGTGATGGGACCTCTAGATGCTGCAGCTCTCTGTCGATGGCTCTGCCTGTGAGTGATCAGCCCTAGATGACCACTGTTACTGGGGGTAGCCCATGCCTGCTGCATGCCCTGTGAAACACTAAATCATATAGCCACGTCTGAGGGACAGCCTGCTGGAGACATGGGAATCTTAGGGATTCCAGACAAAATGAAGCAATGAGAAACACAAAGAGGAAAAGAGAGGTTGAGTATGACAGTGGTGTCAGGGTGTAGGGTGGTAGACAGGGCAGCTCCACACTCTCCACTGCTTCCTGTCTGGAGGCCCACTTTGGGGTCCTACTTATCCAGGTGAGTGAAGGAAGAGGTCAGGACAAACACAGGAGGTGAAGCCAGATACAGTGTGGGGAGATAAGCAGTGGCCTCAGCCTCTAGCCCTTTTCCATCTTCCAGAAGCCCCTCCTGAGCTCTCATCACAGACAGATTTCCCATTTGGAAACCCAGATATTTATCATGCCGGGGGGGGGAGGCAATGTCTCTTGATTATGGGGACTTTCCATCACCAGGCACCTGCTAGTCCTCTCTATACCTTCCCTTCAGGAAAGGAATTGTCCCTCATGGGATTCCAGGGAAGAGACCCCAGGACCCCTATCAGTCACTAGGGAGATGACAGAGTAGAGGAAGTCAGGGGACCAACCCTCCACAGAGAATGGTCCTACTTCAGTGGGGTGAGGGAAACTCTCACTCATCCATTTGCTGTCCTGTTACCTCGGAACCCTAAGAGAACTTGTTAGTCACACACAGAATCTACCCCTGAATGTGGTGTGCAAAGTGGGGCTCTTAGCCTCCAGTGTGAAGTCCCTGGGAAGATGGAATGTCCCTGTGTGAGTGAAGGCTGTGCCACCGCCCAGCTATGTGGCCTTGGGCTAGGCAACCCCTCCCAGGTCCCCAGTTCCCCATCTGCATCGGAGACTGTGGCCAGTGCGGGAATCCACAAGGCCCTTCAGCCTCCAAAGCTCTGGGACAGAGGCCTCGTCCACAGGGAGGAAGGGGTCAGAGTGACCTGAGTCCCTACTCAGGAGCGAGTCTAATCCACTCTCCATCGGGGCCTGTGGGGAAGGGAAGATGAAGAAACGGAGCCTGCACCTGGCTATGTGGGCGCAGTAGATTAAGGGGAGGATGAGGGTTCCTGAGAGTGTGTCATGTGGCAGAGACCCTGCAGCACACTCAGGAAGGGCTCTGGAAGGATCCAAGGAAATTTTCCAAGAAGAGGGCAGAGTAAGTGACAGAGACCCTCAACCATGGATTTCACTGAGGTGCCCATGATGACATAGGGAGAACGGGGGTGTCTGGGCAGGAAGAATATCGTCAGGGTGAAATGAATGGTGATGAGCTTCGTGTCAGAGCTCCTGTGGAGGGAGGGGCCTGGCCCACATGAAAAGGTCTCTGATCCTACCCCAGCCCCCAGCCCCTGTTCTCCAGGATGACACTGTGGGAATTCCATCAGGAGGGGTGTGATAGGGCTGGTCTTCCTGGCTCGATTCACAACACTGGCTGGGGACTGGGAACCCATGGGGAGCCACAGGTGGAAAGGGAGGAGCCTCAGTGAACCCAGCAGGAACAAACATAGGGTCTGACATGATGGAACTCACTTCCTGGAGGCCAAGAAAGACACTTGCGGGACAAAAGGGAAAGAGCGGTGGCTTGCTTAGTTCCATTCACTGACAACCCACAGGAGATGTCCAGTCCTTTTTTGATTTATTATTTTATTTTATTATATTTTATTTTATTTTATTTTATTTTCACATGGAGTTTTGCTCCTATTGGCCAGGCTGGAGTGCAATGGCACGATCTTGACTCACTGCAACCTCCACCTCTCAGGTTCAAGCGATTCTCCTGCCTCAGCCTCCTGCATAGCTGGGATTACAGGCGACTGCCACCACAGCCAGGTAATGTTTGTATTTTTAGTAGAGATGAGGTTTTGCCATCTTGGCCAGGCTGGTCTCAAACTCCTGATCTCATGTGATCCGCCTGTATCAGACTGCCAAAGTGTTGGGATTACAGGCGTGAGCCACCACACCCAGCCTTTTGTATTTTTAGTAGAGATGGGGTTTCACCATGTTGGTCAGGCTGGTCTTAAACTCCTGACCTCAGGTGATCCATCCACCTCGGCCACCCAAAGTGCTGGGAGTACAGATGTTAGCCACCGTACCCAGCGAGAGTTTCAGTGCTCTATCGGATTCCCTGCCTACTCCATGTTGCATGTAATGTTCCACCTCAGGGATGTTTCTCTCCTTTCTGTCTCCTTCCTCTTCTCCTTCTCCTTTTTTCTTTCTAATTTTTATTTTTTTGAGACAGAGCCTTGCTCTGTTACCCAGGCTAGAGTACAGTGGCACGATCCCAGCTCACTGCAACCTCTGCCTCCTGGGTTCAAGAGATTCTCCTGACTCAGCCTCTCAAGTAGCTGGGATTACAGGCACCCGCCATCACACCCAGCTAGTTTTTGTATTTTTAGTAGAGACGAGGTTTCACCATGTTGGCCAGACTGGTCTTGAACTCCTGCCCTCAGGTAATCCACCCGCCTGTGGCCCCCCAAAGTGCTGGGATTACAGGCGTGAGTCACCACTCCCAGCCCTGAATGATCTTTCCTCTTTAGTGTGTTCTCACAACCACCTCTCACTGAGCTTTCTTGTTTTTTGTTTTTGTTTTTGTTTTTGTTTTTGTTTTTGGCAGAGTCTGGCTTTGTTGCCTATGCTGGAGTGCAGTGGTGCAATCTCAGCTCACTGCAACCTCCGTCTCCTGGGTTCAAGCGATTCTCCCACCTCAGCCTCCTGAGTAGCTGGGATTACAGGCACCCACCACCACACCCAGCTAATTTTTGCATTTTTAGTAGACACAGGGTTTCACCATGTTGGTCAGGCTGGTCTCGAACTCCTGACCTTGTGATCTGCCAGCCTCAGCCTCCCAAAGTGCTGGAATTACAGGCATGAGCCACCACTCCCAGCCCTGGATTATCTTTCCTCTTTAGTGTGTTCTCACAACTACCTCTCACTGCTGGGTTTTCTCTCTTTCTTTTTTTTTTTTTTTTTTTTTTTTTTTGAGACAGTCCGGCTTTGTTGCCCAGGCTGGAGTGCAGTGGCGCGATCTCGGCTCACTGCAAGCTCCACCTCCCAGGTTCAAGCGATTCTCCCACCTCAGCCTCCCTAGTAGCTGGGATTACAGGCGCATGCCAGCACACCCAGCTAGTTTTTGTATTTTTAGTAGAGACAGGGGTTTCACCATGTTGGTCAGGCTGGTCTTGAACTCCTGACCTTGTGATCTTCCTGCCTCGGCCTCCCAAAGTGCTGGGATTACAGGTGTAAGCCACTGCACCCAGCCAGCTTTCTCATTCTTATCCCTTAGTTCTCTGCCAGGGAATAAGATAGAAACCATTCCCTCAACCACATTCTAGTCATGGTCCCTATTCTCATGTTTCCACTTCTCTCTCTTTGGTAATAAATCAATTAATTGAGAAACAAGTAGCTAAATGTTCATCTTCTGCTAGTCTGCATCCCCTTATTTTCCCAGAGCCTCCCCTAATGAAACTGACTTTATTTACTGAACGCAGGAAATGGGTCTCTCCAGATCAGGATGACTTTCTGCTGGGAAATATTTGTCTTTGCATCAGTGGGGAAAAAGAAAGCCGATGTCATGAGTGGAGGCTCTGAGAAAATAAGGGCTGTGTTTTCAGTTTAGACCCAGCTAAGTTGGGAGCTGACATAGATATGATGTTGGGTCCACCCTCCACGGGCAGGTTTTCAGACAAAGGATCCCTGGCAATCAGGGGACACCTCAGGTCTGGGCTGAGATGTGTGCAGAGGGCCTGGGTCCTCCTGAGCCCCTGCACTGGGGGGGGAATAAGAGACAGGCCCAGCAAGGGGCTGTCCACTTCCTGTGGGTTCACAGCTGTGGGGACCCAGGCAGGCGGCAGCAGGCTCTGACTTAACCACATCCGTGCATCTGTCTGTCATGGAGGGCCATGTGGTCACCTGTCCCACAGCTGGAGCACGCAGAGCAGGCATCATGGTGTCCATCCTCACTGTTCTTCTGTGCCTCAGTCAGTGGTGGAGAGACGAGGGACAGGAGGGGCACTGGGCTGAGGTGGGGAGGGTCCCACAGCAGCCTTGTTCACCAGAGAGCCTCAGGGCTCCAGTGGCTACTGGTGCTCCAACAGGAAGGGAAGCAGCCACACCTCTGTGTTCCAAATCCCCCACAGGAAACTCTTCTCCATGGCTGAGTCTGGGCCAGAAAGCCCAAGCACTTGCAGGTGAGTCTCTGCTAACCTCCCATGCCTGACCTCACACTCAGCACCTGGACTCTCATCTCAGGGGCTTCTGAACTGAGGGTGAGAAAATCAAGAGGGTCTGTGACCTGAGCTGGGAATGAGGAGCGGGGGAGGTCTGTGGACCCCAGCCTGTGGTTTCTTCCAGGGACCCTCCCCAAACCCAGCCTCTGGGCTGAGCCAGGCTCTGTGATTACCTGGGAGAGCCCCATGACCCTCTGGTGCCAGGGGACCCTGGATACCCAGGGTTACTATCTCACCAAGGAAGGAAACCCCATGACCTGGTACCAACAGAGCCCACCAGAGCCCAGGAACAAGACCAACTTCTTCATCCCATCCATGAGAGAGCACCATGCAGGGAGATACCACTGTCACTATCTCAGCCCTGCAGGCTGGTCAGAGCGCAGCGAGCCCCTGGAGCTGGTGGTGACAGGTAAGAGGACACTCAGGGGTCCCAGCCCCAGGCTCTGCCTGCAGGAAGGGGGTCAGCTCTCAAGGGCATCTCCGTTCTAATAACTCAGCCCTGGGGGATGATGTGGGACGCGTGAGCCCCATTTAAGACAGTGTCTCCTTCTCTCCTAGGAGCCCACAGAAAACCCACTCTCTCAGCCCTGCCGAGCCCTGTGGTGACCTCAGGAGAGAACGTGACCATCCAGTGTAGCTCAAGGGTGGGATTTCACAGGTTCATTTTGATTGAGGAAGGAGAAAACAAGCTCTCCTGGATGCTGGACTCACAGGAACTCTCCAAGGGGCTGTCCCTTGTCCCTGGCCCTGTTCCCTGTGGGCCGTGTGGCTGCCAGTCACCGGTGGATGTTCAGATGCTATGGGCATTACACGAACTTCCCCTGGGTGTGGTCGGAACCCAGTGATACCATGGAGATCCTGGTCTTAGGTATGGATGTCTTCCTCCTTGCCCTATTTATTTTTGAGAACTTACTCTCACGGAGCCCCATGTAGGAGGGTGGAACAAGGGAAGTTTGGGACTCCTGAGCCCAGAGACACTGAGTGTGAGAGACAGTGAGACCTGCAGGGCCAGGAGGGGAGAAGGAAGGGGTGTGGGAGGAACCAGCCCTCCTAGTCCCGACTCTTCTTTCCCTCCAGGCGTGTCTAGGAAGCCCTCCCTCCTGACCCTGCAGGGCCCTGTCGTGGCCCCTGGGGAGAATCTGACCCTCCAGTGTGGCTCTGATGTCGGCTATGACAAATTCACTCTGTACAAGGAGGGGGGACATGACCTCGTCCAGGGCTCTGGCCGGCAGCCCCAGGCTGGGCTCTCCCAGGCCAACTTCACCCTGGGCCCTGTGAGGGTCTCCCACGGGGGCCAGTACAGATGCTACGGTGCACACAACCTCTCCTCCGAGTGGTCGGCCCCCAGTGACCCCCTGAGCATCCTGATCGCAGGTGAGGAGCCCAGCAGGTTCAGTCAGGGACCCAGGCTCCGCACAGGCCCTGCTGGGGGAGCCCAGGTGGTGATGGCCGGGATGAGGGGTGGGGGTCCTAAGGGACGGAGAGACAGACAGAGACAGGGGATGGGCGGGGAGGGGGAGACTCAGAGAAAACAGAGACAGAGACACTGAGGGTCCCAGGGAGAGGCCTGGGGAGGTGTCAGCTCAGAACGAGGTGGGGCAGCCCCTCACCCATCCTTCTTCTCTCCAGGACAGATCCGTGGCAGACCCTCCCTCTCGGTGCAGCCGGGCCCCACGGTGGCCTCAGGAGAGAACGTGACCCTGCTGTGTCAGTCACGGGAGCAGTTGGACACTTTCCTTCTGACCAAGGAGGGGGCAGCCCATCACCCACTGCGTCTGAGATCAGAGCACCAAGCTCAGCAGCACCAGGCTGAATTCCCCATGAGTCCTGTGACCTCAGCCCACGCGGGGACCTACAGGTGCTACAGCTCACGCAGATTCTTCCCCTACCTGCTGTCTCACCCCAGTGACCCCCTGGAGCTCGTGGTCTCAGGTGAGGCCGCTGACCCTGTCCTCTCTGAGCTCAAACCTCAGCTCAGGCCCTGCCCCCAGGAGAGCTCAGGACGCTAAGGAAAGAGGGGAGTAAAGGGGGAGGGTCGGCAGGGGAGGGCCCAGCCCATGAGAGGGTGGAAATAGTCAGGGACCTCCTAATCCTGGGCTCCCACCCCAGAGACCTCAGATGGGGCTAAAGGCCAGGGAGGGCTGAAATGAGATATGGAGAAACCTTGGAGGAATCATGCTTAGGCTGAGGGTAGAAGATGGAGGCCCCACCCACTCCCCACCTGGGCTCCCCTGGCGGCCCCAAAATACTCAGTGCATACCTGAGACGAAGGGGAGATCATGCACCTGCTCACTGCAGCAATGCAGGCAAATTATTCAACAGCAAACCTCGTGTGCAATTCCTTTCTGTCCTTTATTTTTTATGTCCACATATCTAGTTTCTCTTTCTGTTTCTGAAGATTTCAAAGCAATGCTGGCATTTATAATTTACACATTTAATTTGTTAGGTAGCGTTATGATGTAAAATAACTGTGCTCTGATTTTCTTTGGGATTAAATTAAATATGTGCATTCATGATGGAGAATAACTTCTCATTAATAATGTCTTTGTATCCAATACATTTAAAATTAAACTTTATACAGTTAGCAGATGCTTGAAGTTGTATTCATAAAAATTGTGGACATTGTGAATTTTAAGCATTGTTTTACTACTTGAATAATTTGAAAGTCTTTGATTCCTTTCTATTTTCTAAAATTAGTTACGTATGGATGAGAAAGCTATTGGTTTGGGTATGCTAATTTTAGTTCCTATTAACTTACCACAGACACACTCCCTTTCAATCCTTTCCGAAATGATCTCTTCTGATTTATTGATAATAATTACATTAACCACAAGAAAATGGAGGACAAACTTGTTTGTTTCTAAATTATATAATACTCTTCTCACTTCAAATATATATGTATGTGTTTATATATACTCACACACTATTATATATCTTATAATATATATTATGTATTATATATTTATATATACACTATTATATATCTTATATATTATGTATTATATATTTATATATACCCACACATTATTATATCTTATAATATATATTATGTATTATATATTTATATATACCCACACATTATTATATCTTATAATATATATTATGTATTATATATTTATATATGCACTATTATATATCTTATATATTATGTATTATATATTTATATTACCCACACATTATTATATCTTATAATATATATTATGTATTATATATTTATATATACACACACTATTATATATCTTATTATATATTATGTATTATATATTTATATATACTATTATATATCTTATAATATATAATGTATTATATATTTATATATACACACACTATTATATATCTTATATATTATGTATTATATATTTATATATACATACTATTATATATCTTATAATATATTATGTATTATATATTTATATATATACACTATTATATATCTTATTATATATTATATATTTATATATGCACACACTATTACATATCTTATTATATATTTATATGTATACACACACTATTATATATCTTATTATATATTATGTACTATATATTTATATATACTATTATATATCTTATAATATATAATGTATTATATATTTATATATACACACACTATTATATATCTTATATATTATGTATTATATATTTATATATACATACTATTATATATCTTATAATATATTATGTATTATATATTTATATATATACACTATTATATATCTTATTATATATTATATATTTATATATGCACACACTATTACATATCTTATTATATATTTATATGTATACACACACTATTATATATCTTATTATATATTATGTACTATATATTTATATATACTATTATATATCTTATAATATATAATGTATTATATATTTATATATACACACACTATTATATATCTTATATATTATGTATTATATATTTATATATACATACTATTATATATCTTATAATATATTATGTATTATATATTTATATATACACACTATTATATATCTTATTATATATTATATATTTATATATGCACACACTATTACATATCTTATTATATATTTATATGTATACACACACTATTATATATCTTATATATTATATATTTATATATACTCACACTATATCTTATAATACATATTATGCATACACATATGCATAATACATATTATCTATACACATATGCATAATACATATTATGTATACACATATGCATAACACATATTATGTATACACACATATTTACACCTATGCATATATGTATGTATGTATGCGAATGTACCTCTGCCACGGCAGGGAAAGGTTCTATCACACAACTACAGAGCAGTTAGGAGAAGTGTAGACACAAAGGAATGCAGCAACTGAGGGACATGTTGGCTTAAGTCTCTTCAACTCCTCACACACCTCCCCCTTTTTTGGTTGATTCTCAGGAGCAGCTGAGACCCTCAGCCCATCGCAAAACAAGACAGACTCCAAGACTGGTGTGTAAGGAGATGCTCTCGGTTATGGGGCTGGCACAGAGGGTCAGGTCCTGTGAAGGGGAGGTGGGTGCCCTGGGTGGACATCCAGGGGTCCCGGGTGATGTTGATCTGCCCTGACCTCTGAGACCTCTTGGTCCACCATCCCCAGCCTCACACCCCCAGGATTACACAGTGGAGAATCTCATCCGCGTGGCTGTGGCTGGCTTGGTCCTGGTGGTCCTCGGGATTCTGCTGCTTTAGGACTGGCACAGCTAGAGAAGTCCCCAAGATGCAGCAAGGAGGTAAATACATGAGAGAACAATGCACCCTTCAGAGTGCCAGAGCCTTGGCAATGAATCTGATAGTCCTAGGAGGTTCTGGAAGAAAGTCTGGACCATCATTCGGGAAACCGTCTACTGAGAAAGTCGAGAAGGGGAGGCTTGGGTCAGGTTCAGGAAGATGTCTGGGTGCCTGTAGAGAACGCTTCCTCCATTAAACTTCCATTAAATGGCAGTGCTTTCAGTCCTGCTGTTGTGGATCCTCCGTGTCTGCCCCTCCCTTCCTTTCGCTCTCTGTGATGTGAAGGCACGTCCCCCATGGTGGGTTTGCATCCACACCCCTGCGATCACGTGCTCTGGTCCACTGTCATGTAATACATTTGTCTTTGTTTCCAACTACCGCATTCTCTAAAGTGAACTATTGATTCTCCATCTTTTCAGTTCTGAGCATAGATCTGGATTAAATAACTGGAATAGGTGGGCAGATTTGTATTTGGGACTTTGAAACATGAGTCTGAGGCCAGGCACAGTGGCTCACACCTGTAATCCCAGCACTTTGGGAGGCTGAGGTGGGCGGATCACTTGAGGTCAGAAGTTCGAGACCAACCTGGCCAACATGGTGAAACCCTGTCTCTACTAAAAGATACAAAAATTAGCTGGGTGTGGCAGTGAGCACCTGTAATCCCAGCTGCTCAGGAAGCTGAGGCGGGAGAATAGCTTGAACCCGGGAGGCGGAGGTTGCAGTGAGCCAAGATCTTGCCACTGCACTCCAGCCTGGGCAACAGAGCAAGACTCCATCTCCAAAAAAAAAAAAAAAAAGGGAAATATGAGTCTGAAATGATGCCCTAGCACCCTCTCTGGACCCTGAATTCCCTTCACTCTTCATCGGATGATACCTGTGTACTTTGTCCAGAAATATCATCTCTCAGAATGAGCACACTAACGCTCGAAGGCTCAGCCTCATGGTATTCTGTTAAACTGGCTCTCTGAAAAAATTATTTTCTTAAGAAAACTCTGAACATATAAAGCCCCAGATTTATGGTATTTGCTGATTAGTGTGGTATAAATACGTCCTTTATGGCCAACTTCAGGGTGCCCATATGACGCCATTGAATGCACAGTTGGGAAGTAGTCAAAAGAATTGTCGTTCACACGAGTATGAACCAGTTGTAAAGTTTATTTAAAGGTTATAATAATTTCTGCTTCATTCTTATGGTGTAGTTTCAGTAAAATTGTAATGTCAAAAATCATAGCACAATGGAGGGAAAAGAAAAAAATAGGCCGGGTGTGGTGGCTCATGCCTGTAATCCCAACACTTTGGGAGGCCGAGGCAGGAGGATCACCTGAGGTCAGGAGTTCGAGACCAGCCTGGCCAACATGGTGAAACGCTGTCTCTACTAAAAATACAAAAATTAGCCAGACATGGTGGCGCCTGCCTGTAATCCCAGCTACTTGGGAGGCCAAGGCACGAGAATCGCATGAACCCAGGAGGCGGAGGTTGCAGTGAGCCGAGATCACTACAGCCTGGGTGATAGAGCAAGACTCAGTCTCAAGAAAAGAAAAAAGTAGCAAAATCATTTTTTGGAAAGAATATTGAACATGTAGAATTTTAGTACATTAATAGTAAGAGTACAAATTGCTTTAATCAATTAAGGAAGTGTATTGGAATTATCTAGTTAAAAAGAGGAGGCACATGGCTGTGACCCTTCTTAATTATGTACTTAATTATGTACCCTAGAGATAA
This sequence comes from Homo sapiens, assembly GCF_000001405.40. NCBI lineage: Eukaryota > Metazoa > Chordata > Mammalia > Primates > Hominidae > Homo > Homo sapiens. The sequence continues at coordinate 16,573 of NW_016107308.1, forward strand.
ATGTCTACTTATGTGTCATGATACACTCACAACTGTTATAGGAATGCTGTTCCTATTAGCCAAAGCTATAAAATACCAAAGTCCACCTACGAAAAAAATAAACATAGTGTGGTAAATAGACTCAGTGGAATATTACAAGGTAGTAAAATGCATAAATGAAAATAACAAACAGCACCATACTTCAATTTTCAAGCATAAAGTCAAGTAAATGAAGTATTATTTGAAAATGTGTGCATGGTTATTTCATTACATAAAGGTCAAAAGGAGGGTACATTTATTATTTAGGAAAACACACCTAAGATATCTTTGTAAAATCTGTAAAATCAATAGTACTGTTTCCCCTCTTTCATTCCTTATCTTGAAAATGCTTGTCTCTTTTTCTGCCATGGCTTTCTACCTTGCTTGATATATTACAATTTTGTAACCTGCTTATTTCATCATATGTCATAAGTTCACATGTATATCCCATGAATTATTGAGGGTCTTATTCATTTCAAGTGGCATTTAGGTTTTTAAAAATATCTTTTGGCGACCAGGTGCAGTGGCTCATGCCTGTAATCCCAGCACTTTGGGAAGCCAAGGCAGGTGGATCACGAGTTCAAGAGACAGAGATCATCCTGGCGAACATGGTGAAACCCCGTCTCTACTAAAAATACAAAAAAAAAAAAAAAAATAGCTGGGCATGGTAGAGGGTGCCTGTAGTCCCAGCTTCTCAGGAGGCTGAGGCGGGAGAATGGCATGAACCCGAGAGACGGAGGTTGCAGTGAGCCGAGATCGTGCCACTGCACTCCAGCCTGGCAACAGAGTGAGACTCTGTCTCAAAAAAAAAAAAAAAAGAAAGAAAGAAAGGAAGAAAAAAAAATCTTCTGGCATTAACTATTAAGAAATTGCACTATAAAAAGAGAATATAATGCATAAGACGGCAATTTGAAAAGATTCAGATATAATTTTTTCTTATCTAGTAAATACTTAGTAATTTGTCTAATGCATGCCTTAAATACATACCACTTTATGCAGAGGTTGCCATGAGCCGAGATCGCGCCGTTGCACTCTAGCCTGGGTGGCAGAGCAAGACTCCATCTCAAAAAAAAAAAAGAAAATCTCACAGAAGGAGACCCAGAGCTTCCAGCCTCGCCCAGAGTCTTGGCTCACTCCCTGTGTGTGTGGACCCTAGGGAGCCTCTTCTGTTCCCCACAGAGGTGGAAACTTCCTCCTTAATAACCCCTTGATGGTCCCAGGCACTGGTGACCACTGAGCTTTGCTCTCTCTTTTTTCTTATGGTTCCCTGTCTACTTCCAGGGCTATCACTTTACTTTTTGTGCATTAGACCATGAATAATGTTTTAGAAACATTCTATCAAATTTCTCAGTGCTAGGAACAACTGAGGTTTTTGATTGGGTGCCTCAAATGTCTACCCTTACTGTGGAGTCCGACAACAGGATTCTAACAAGTCCCAACCCCTTCATGCCTTAACCTGGTCTGGAAATAAATTATGTTTAAGCCATCCCATACCCCAGCCACATCAAGCCCCACAACCACTCTGAGAAGTGAGATTTATAGCAAAATGCTCCAAACAAGGTAACTAAGGTTCAGACAAGGGATGTTAATGTGTCCATTTACATAAACAAAAAATGGTAGATGATCAGCTTTCCCTTTGAAATCAGAGTACTAATCTGACTCATTGTTCCCTGAATTTTAGAGGCAGGACCTCAGGAGGAGCTAAGAATCCTACCCCAGGAAAATTACCAATATCAGAAAGGAAACAATGACATCAGTACAGATCCTACAGAATTCAAAAGATTCTAAGTGGACATTATGAAGACATTATTCAGCTTAGATGAAGTGGTCACATATCACAAGAAAACAAACTGTCTAAAACAATCTCTGAAATACCTAGACATTCCCTGAATCATTGAGTTATTAAATAAAATACATTTTAAAATTAAACTCTTTTCAGGAAATAAACTTCAATGTCCCCTAGTGCACTCTCCAAAACATGTAGATGGGAATAAATACTGTTCTGAAAGACATTTCCCTGGAATTACAACCATTCAATATATTTTAAAAGGCAATCATAAAAATATAAAAAGGATATATCAGGAGAAGAAATGTAAATGGCCTAAATTCCCCACATAAAAGGCATAGAGTGGCAACGTGGATAAAAAGCCAAGAGCCAACTGCCTGCTGTCTTCAAGAGACCCATCTCACATGTAATGACACCCACAGGCTCAAAGTAAAAGGATGAAGAAATATTTACTAGGCAACCAGGAAACAAAAAAAAGGAAGGCATTCCTATTCTTATATCACATGAAACACACTTTAAATCAACAGCAATCAGGAAGGACAAAGAAGGGCATTACAAAATGATAAAGGGTTCAATTTGACAGAAGACTTAACTATTCTAAATATATATGCACCCAAATTTGGAGCACCCCGATTCATAAAACAAGTTATTCTTCACCTATGAAAAGAGTTAGACAGCCACACAATAATAGTAAGGGACTTCAGTATCCCACTAACAACGTCAGATGAATCACTAAAACAGAAAACTAACAAAGAAATTCTGGTCTTAAAGACAACACTTGACCAATTGGACCTCATAGACATCTACAGAGTACTCCACCCAACAACTGCAGAATATAGATTCTTCTTATCTGCACACACAAAAAACATATCATATTCTAAGACTGGCCACAAAGCAAGTCTCAATAAATTCAAAGAATCAAAATCATAACAAGGCACACAATAAAAATAGAAAAAAATACCAAGATGATCTCTCAAAACTACAGAAAAACATGGAAATTTAACAACTTGTTTCTGAATGAATATTAAGAGCCATCTATGACAAATCCACAGCCAACATCATATTGAATGGTCAAAAGCTGGAACTGTACCCCTTGAGAACTCTTGGGTGAACAATGAAATTAAAGCAGAAATCACAAAACATTATTTAAAATTAATAAAAATAGAAACAAACTTACCAAAACCTTTGGGATGCAGTTAAAGCAGTGATAAGAGGAAAATTTATAGCAATACATGCCTCATCAGAAGTTTAGAAAGATCTCAAATTAGTGACTTAACACTGCATCTAGAGGAACTATTAAAAAAAAGGAACAGTCCAAACCCAAGGCCAGCAAAAGATGAGAAATAACTAAAGTCAGAGAGAACTGAATAAATTGAGACCAAAAAGTCCATACAAGAGATAAATAAAACCAAGAGTTTTTCTTTGAAAAAAAATAAACAAAATTCATAGACTGTTAGCTAGATTAACAAAGAAAAAGAGAAAAGATCCAAATAAACACAAATAGAACTGACAAAACAATGTTACGAACAATCCCACAGAAATAGAAAAGATCGTCAAAGACTATTATGAACACCTCTATACAAACAAGCTAGAAAACCTAGAAGAAATGGATAAATTCCTGGTAACACAAAATTTATCATATTTCAACCAGGAAGAAAGTGAAAACCTGAACAGACCAATAACAAGTTCAGAAATTTAATCAGTAATAAAAACCCTACTAACTAAAAATAGCCCAGGACCAGATGGATTCACAGCCAAAATCCAACAGCCATACAAAGAAGAACTGATACCGATCTTACTGAAACTTTTGGAAAAAATCAAGGAGTGGGGGCTTCTTCCTAACTCATTCTATGAAGCCATCATCACCATGATACCAACATCTGTCAGAGACATAATGAAAAAAAGAAAACTACAACTAAATATCCTTAATGAACATAGACATAAAATCCTCAACAAAATGCTAGCAAATTGAATCTGTCAGTGCATCAAAAGTTAATTCACATGATCAAGTAAGCTTTATTTTTGGGATGCAAGGTTGGTTCAACCTACAAAGTCAACGAATGTGATTCACCTCATAAACATAATTAAAAACAAAAACTATATGATCATCTCAATAGATGCAGAAAAAGCTTTCTGTAAAATCCAACATCCCTTCATGATAAAAACTGTCAATAGGCATCAAAGGAACATACCTCAAAATATTAAGAGCCATCTATGACAAACCCACAGCCAACATCATATTGATGGGCAAAAGCTGGAACCATACCCCTTGAGAACCGAAACAAGACCAGGATGACCACTCCCGCCATTTTAATTCAACATGGTACTGGAAGTCCTAGCCAAAGCAATCAGGCAAGAGAAGGAAATAAAAGGCATTAAAATTGGAAAAGAAGTAGTGATACTGTCTCTCTTTGCTGATGAAATAATTTTATACATAGAAAACCCTAAAGACTCTGTCAGAAGGCTCCTGAAACTGATAAACAAATTCAATAAAGTTTCGGGATTAAAAAAATGTACACAAATTAGTAACATTTCTATGCACCACTAACATTCTAGCTGAGAACTAAATCAAGAACACAATTCCATTTACACTAGCCACAAAGAAAATAAAATACCTAGGAATCCATCTAACCAAGAAGGTGAAAATTCTCTACAAGGAGAACTACAAAACACTTCTGAAAGAAATAAGAAATGATACAAACAAATGGAAGAATATTCCATGCTCATGAATTAGGAGAACAAATAGTTAAAATCGCCATACTTCCAAAAACAAATTGCAGACTCAATGCTATCCATTTCAAAATGCAATGTCATTTTTCACGAAATTATAAAAATTTATTCTAAAATGTATTTGGCACCAAAAAAAGAGCCTGAATACACATAGGAATCCTAAGCACAAAGAACAAAGCCCAGGCATCACATTACCCAACTTCAAACTATACTACAATGCTATAGTAACCCAAACAGCATGATACTACTACAAAAACAGACACATAGACCAATGAGACAGAATAGAGAACCCAGAAATGAGGCTACATACCTACAATCATCTTTGAAAAAATTGACAAAAACAAGCAATGTGGAAAGTACCCTTTCTTCAATAAATAGTTCTGGGATAACTGACTACTCATATGCAAAATAATAGAACTGGACCCCTAACTCTCACTATATACAAAAATTAACCCAAGATAGTTTAAAGATTTAAATGTAAAACCTCAAAATATTAAAATTCTAGAAGAAAACCTAGGAAATATCCTTCTCAAGATAGACTTTGGCAAAGAATTTATGGCTAACTCCCCAAAACCAATTGTGACAAAGACAGAAATTGGGACCTAACTCAACTGAAGAGCTTCTGCACAGCAAACGAAAGTATCAACAGAGTAAACAGATAACCTACAGACTGGGAGAAAATATTTGCAAACTATGCATCTGACAAAGTTCTAATATCCAGAATCTATAAGGAATGTAAACAAATCAACAAGCAGAAAACCAAAAAACCTCAATTAAGTATGACATGAACAGACACTTCTCAAAAGAAGATGTACACATGGCCAAAAAACATATGAACAAATGCTTATTATCAGTAATCATCAGAGAAATGCAAATTAAAACCACAGTGAGATACCATCTCACAACAATCAGAGAAGCAGAAGCAATTACTAAAAAGTTTTTTGTTTTTTTTAATAACAGATGCTGACAAGATTGTGGAGAAAAGGGAACACTTATACACTCTTGGTGGGAATGTTAACTAGTTCAGCCAATGTGATAAGCAGTTTGGAGACTTCTCAAATAACTTAAAATAGAACTACTATTCAATCAAGCAATCCCACTACTGGGTATATACCAAAAGGAAGGTAATTAACTATGTCAAAAAGACACATGCACTAGTATATTCATTGCTGTGCAATTCAGAATAGCAAAGATTTGCAGTCAACCTAAGTGCTCACCAACAGTGGATTAGTTAAAGAAAATGTGCTACATATACACATGGAACATTACATGGCCATAAAAAATAATGAAATCATGTCCTTTGCAGCAACATGAATGTAGCAGGAGGTCAATCTCCTAAGTGAACTAACCCAGGAACAGAAAACCAAATACCACATGTTATCACTTATAACTGAGAACCAAACATTGAATACACATGAACATAAAGATGGAAACAACAGATACCGAGGACTACAGATGGGGGGAGGAGTAGGGAGGTATAGGCTGAAGAAACACCTGTTGGATTCTATGCTCATTGCCTGGGTGATGGCATTGTTGGAACCACAAACCTCAGAGTCACACAATATGCCTATGTAACAAACCTGCATGCATACCTTTAATCTACAGTAAAGGTTGAAGTTATTTAAAAATAGGAAGAAGAATTACCCTATACCTAAAGCTAAGATTTTTCCCTTTGAATATTCGTTTCTTCATCACTGTAGATAAGCAGGGAAAGAAAAATTATTATACTATACTAGCCTTTTATGTGACCATGAGGATTTGGGGTAGGTAGGTGGACAGCTTAGATAATTCACCAGGATATTGATACAGGCTCCATGGCTGGAAATAACCAAGGATGAGTGCTGTGTTTTGAGTGGTCTCCCCCAGAAACGTTTGTTGAAATCCTAACCCCTGGTATGTATGAATGTGAATTCATATTATATAAAAAGGAATAAATAGCCTGAGCACAGTGGCTCACACCTGTAATCCCAGCACTTTGGGAGGCCAAAGCAGGTGGATCATTTGAGGTCAGGAGTTCTGGCCAATATGGCAAAACTTCATCTCTACAAAAAAAAAATACAAAAAAAAAAATTGGCTGGGTATGGTGGCGCATGCCTGTAGTCCCAGCTACTCAGGAGGCTGAGGCAGGAATTGCTGAAACCTGGAAGGCAGAGGTTGCAGTGAGCCAAGATCATGCCACTGCACTCCAGCCTGGGTGAGACGGCAAGATATTCTGTCAAAAATAAATAAATAAAAAACAGAAGAAGAAATACAAGAATGACAGCAAACTTTGTATTCAAAACTATGAAAGTAAGAAACAGGTGGACCAACATTTTTAAAGTGCTACAAGAAAATATTTCAAACTAGAATCTTTCAACCTGAAAAGGAAAACATTTTCCTGCAATAAAGGTGCCATTAAAAATGTCTCACAATTTATTACATGAAGCATTGTTCTACAATAAATGTTAAGCTCTTGAAGCAAAGATTAATGATACCATTTAGTAACTTGAAATTCAAAAAAGTGGAAGTATCCCAAGAGGCAAATACGTGTGCAATTATTAAATGTTTCATATCAACACCCAACCTTATGCTGTCTACATAAGCTGCACTTCAAATACTAATCCACAAGATGTAAATATTGAAAGAATGACATTACCTTGTCATGATAATGCCCAGTGCAAAATATGCTTCTAGTCAGTTGTATACATAGAATAGGTAAATGTTTGTAATAAAAAGTATTCCTCAATAGAAGTTTCTTAACTCAAAGAATGAAATATTTCACCATGCACATACAAAGAAGAGATATATGGAGATATGAAGAGGAGTACTTCATAATGACAAAGAGGCAAATTCATAAATAAGACATAATCATCCTAAATGCCTACACACTTAAAGCTGGAACCTCAAAACACATTAAATTAAAGGCATAATTCAAAACATAATCAATCACATCCAAATTGCAGCTAGAGATAGCAACATTCACCTCACTTCCAGAACAAGTACACAGAAAATTATTAAGCATATGAAAGACTTGAAAAACATTTGTGTAGGCGGCGGGTGCATAAGGTTGGGTGTTGATATGAAACATTTAATAATTTCAATAATCCTAGCACTTTGGGAGGCCAAAATGGGAGGATCACTTGAGGCCAGGAGTTTGAGACCAGCCTGGGCACCATAGTGAGACCCCGTCTCTATTTTTTTTAAATAAAGAAAAACATTTGAATGATTTTTTTCTTAACTGACATTTAGAAAACATCCACCTCAAATCTTCCTAATCCACAAACTTGTCTAGCACCCCTGGAACATTCACCAAAATAAATTTTTAAATGCTGAATCATAGGTAATATGATAGATGAAACAGTTGAATTAAATTATAAATGTACAACAAGGAAATGCTGGGGAAATTATCAAATATTTTAAAATTAATAAACACACATAGCAATAAACAATGAGTGGAAGAAAAACATTTCAAAGAAAGGTGGAAAATATTTTGTATCAATTAAAAATGAAAACACATCTCGGCAAATGACTGGGGATACAGATAGAACAGCGTTAAGGGACAATAAGCCTCAAATGTCTGTGTTAGAAAAGAAGGAAGAGCTGAGTAAATAGGTAACTTTCACTTGCAGAAATACTACACATCAGCAAATTAATTCCAAAGTAACGTCGAGGAAAAACATAAAATGGCAAGCAAATATATACGTGCATATGTACATACATTCATAAATGACAAACAGGACAGAAAAATCAGTGACATCAATTTTGTTCCTTAGAAGAAACAGGAAAATTGACCCCAAAAAACTTTCCAGGCCACATTTGGTCATGATGGAAATATTTTGGCACTTCCTGGTTAAGCTCAACACCAACTTGCACCCAAAACCAATAATTTCATTTCTAGGTAAATATGTCTAATTAATTCAGCATATGTATGCAAGGGATCACACAGAAACACGATTATCAAGGCCCGAGTTATAAAAGAGAAAATCCGGAAACAACACAAATGTCCATGATAAAAAGAATGGATAATTACATGTTGATAAAGTTATGCATGGACTATTAAACTGCAATCCAAAAGAATAAAATAGAGCTATAAAATTCAATATGTATATGGTGTCATAGAAACACAAATGTGAGAAAAAGAAAGAAAAATACAAAATTTATATTTTTTAAAATTTGAAACAACTATATATGTGAGTGCTTAGGGTGTGTGTGTGTGTGTGTGTGTGTGTGTATAACCATATGTATATAAATGCACACATACGCACACATATAGAATGTCCCGGCCAGGCATGGTGGCTCACACCTGTAATCTCAGCACTTTGGGAGGCTGAAGTAGACAGATCACTTGAGGTTAGGAGTTCAAGACCAGCCTGGCCAACATGGAGAAACCTCCTCTCTACTAAAAGTACAAAAATTAGGTGGGCGTGGTGGTGGGTGCCTGTAAATCCAGCTACTTAGGAGGCTGAGGCACGAGAATTGCGTGAACCTGGGAGGTGGAGGCTGCAATGAGCCGAGGTCTCACCACTGCATTCCAAACTGGGTGACGAAGTGAGATTGCATCTCAAAAAAAAAAAAAGTTCTAAAAGTTGTGACTTGGGTGTGGCAGATTGTGACATACTGCCAGCTGCTAGAAATGCTGGGGCAGGAGGATTGCTTGAACTCTGAAGTCAAAGAACAGCCTGGGGAAAATAGCACATGAAGAAGAGTTTGAATCTCAGATAAAAACAACAAAAATACATCAAAAGTCTTTAATGTAAGCCAAGCATTCAGTCATCTCCTGTATGAGAGATTGGATCTGAGACGTGTTTTGAGTTGGTTATAGTGAAGGATGCAAGGTGTCAATTCTAGTTGGAACAATTTCCAGGAAGCCATGTTCTGCTCTTGACCAAACAGCCACTGGGCCTCATGCAAGGTAGAAATAGCCTGCATACGTCATCCTCCCATGATGTGGTCAGCATGTAAACTGCATGAGCCCCTCACAACATCCTGTGTGCTGCTGAACTGAGCTGGGGCGCAGCCGCCTGTCTGCACCGGCAGCACCATGTCGCTCATGGTCGTCAGCATGGCGTGTGTTGGTGAGTCCTGGAAGGGAATCGAGGGAGGGAGCGGTGGGGTGGAGATCTGGGCCTGGAGTGGAGATATGGGCCTGGAGTGGAGATATGGGCCTGGAGTGGAGATATAGGCCTGGAGTGGAGATATGGGCCTGGGGTGGAGATATGGGCCTGGAGTGGAGATATGGGCCTGGAACTGTAGATATGGGCCTGAAGTAGAGATATGGGCCTGGAGTAGAGATATGGGCCTGGAACTGTAGATATGGGCCTGGAGTGGAGATATTGGCTTGGAGTGCAGATATGGACCTGGAATTGAGATACGGGCCTGGAGGTGGAGATATGGGCCTAGAGTGGAGATATGGGCCTGGAGGTGGAGATATGGGCCTGGAACTGTAGATATGGGCCTGGAGTAGAGATATGGGCCTGGAGTGGAGATGTTGGCTTGGAGTGCAGATATGGGCCTGGAATGGAGACACGGGCCTGGAGGTGGAGATACAGGCCTGGAGGTGGAGATATGGGCCTGGAGTGTAGATATGGGCCTGGAGTAGAGATATAGGACAGAGGTGGAGATATAGGCCTGGAGTGGAGATATGGGCCTGGAGTAGAGATATAGGACGGAAGTGGAGATATGGGCCTGGAGTGGAGATATGGGCCTGGAGGTGATGTACAGATGGATCATCCATCATGATCTTTCTTTCCAGGGTTCTTCTTGCTGGAGGGGCCCTGGCCACATGTGGGTGAGTCCTTCCCCCAAACCTTAGGTTGTCATCTCCCCACATAAGATGATGTTCCTGAAACGGGAGGCAGGCGACACAGGGGGTTGACTGATGGGCTGACCATGGGAAGCCATGTGGGAATCTCTCATGAACTAGGAAAAGGAAGCCAGGGGAAGCTTCGCCACAGTTCTGTCCTAGCCCTCCCCGGCCTTTCTTTCCCTTGGCTGAGTCTGTGGGGACCCAGGGGGAGACTGAAGTGCTCAAAGGAGTGGTGTGCAGGGAGGAAGTGGTGTCACCGGCAGAGGAAGGGAGAGAAGCAGTGCAAGGAACAACAGGCCTCTGAGGACAAGAGCATAACTCACACCCTCCAGCGTTTCCATGACGGTAGGGGCTGCAATGTGGCTGCTGTCATTCTACCTAAGAGGTGGGGGAACCACAGTCATGACCCTGACATTCCAGATCTTCTAATAGGGGCTCAGTTGTTTATTATGGTTCATGCATTAGCTGATCATGCCCTCCATCCTGTGTCTACCTTGTGTTCTTTTATGTAAGTAATTTTGCAGTGTTAAAATCTAGTAAGAGTCGCTTCTTCAGCACCTGCTCAAAGTTCTCAGCTGACACTTGCTGTAGGGAGACGCCATGTCTATGCGGGATGGGTCCTTCCTGTAGCCCTGGGCACCCAGGTGTGGTAGGAGCCTTAGAAACGTGGAAATGGGAGAATCTTCTGAGCACAGGGAGGGAGGGGCGGCTCCACATCCTCCTCTCTAAGGTAGTGCCTCCTTCTCCCCCAGGTGGTCAGGACAAGCCCTTCCTCTCTGCCTGGCCCGGCACTGTGGTGTCTGAAGGACAACATGTGACTCTTCAGTGTCGCTCTCGTCTTGGGTTTAACGAATTCAGTCTGTCCAAAGAAGACGGGATGCCTGTCCCTGAGCTCTACAACAGAATATTCCGGAACAGCTTTCTCATGGGCCCTGTGACCCCAGCACATGCAGGGACCTACAGATGTTGCAGTTCACACCCACACTCCCCCACTGGGTGGTCGGCACCCAGCAACCCTGTGGTGATCATGGTCACAGGTCAGAGGCTTTCTGTCTGGGCTTCTCACTGTCCCACCTCCTGAATCCCAGAGCTTCTGGTGGGGGTGTCCATCAGGGTCCAATCATCCAGGCCCAGACTGTATTTGGGGTAAAGGGGGATTCAGTACAGAGAAATAGTTGCTGTGGTGGGAAGAATAATTGTCCCCAGTGATGGCTACATGGTAATCCATGAACCCTGTGACTATTTATGTCATAGGGCAGGGGACTGAAGGGGAAGATGGAGCTCAGGTTGTTGATGGGTTGACCTTGCGATGGGGAGACAGCCTGGACTGTCCTGCTGTGCTCAGAGTAATCACAAGGGTCCTCATGAGAGGAGGAGGAAGAGGAAAGTGGGGTTAGAGCAACGTCGTGGGAGGGAGACTCCATCAGCCACAGCGGGCTTTGAAGATGGGGGAAGGCCATGAGCCACAAAGGCAGTTGGCCTCTAAGGGCTGGAGAAGTCAAGGGAACTGATTCTTCCCTGAGTCTCCAGAGGAAACACAGCCCTGTAGATGCCTTGATTTTAGCCCAGAGAGAACTGGGTCCGATTTCTGTTCTCCAGAAGTGGAAGGGGTCATTGTATTCTCTCCTGCCCCATGTTTGTGACAATTTTCTCCAGCAGCAACAGGAAACCAACACAGGAACCCAGGTGAAGCACAAGTTAAGAAACCAAACAAGGAGAAGGTTGGCTACACTGATTTTAGCATGGGTGGGATACTGATGCTACCACCAGGCTCGATCCACATAGGGAGGGGTTGATGCTCCTGGAACCAGCACCAGGGGCCACCCTATGGAAGCTGGGGCCATGGAGAAGGCACAGACATGACAGGAGAGGCTCCCAATCCCCATCAGGAACAGGGACACTGATGCCTGCCTTACTGATGAGTTCGTACCTCCTGCCAGCCTTTCCAATCTGTCCAAAAGAGATTGATTCAGGCTGCTAAGAGCCTGGACATGCAGCCTGTCGTGGTTCCTCTTCCACCCCCACATAAACACCAGGAAAGAGATTAGTGGGAAACAGATACAACAGCATAAGAGGTGACACTGAGCACAGTGGGAAGGGAATCAGGGCTACTAGAGACAGAGAGACAGGGAAGAGGGAGGGAGACAGATGGAGGGACCTGCAACAGGGGTTATGGGCACAAAAGAACACGGAGACACAGAGAGGAAGGAGAGAGATAGACACCATGGAGGGGAAGCCTCACTTATTTCAGGTCCCATGAATGGGATGAGAAAGGGAGACGCCTTCTGAACTCACAACCTCTCTTCTTAGGAGTCCACAGAAAACCTTCCCTCCTGGCCCACCCAGGTCCCCTGGTGAAATCGGGAGAGACGGTCATCCTGCAATGTTGGTCAGATGTCAGGTTTGAGCGCTTCCTTCTGCACAGAGAGGGGATCACTGAGGACCCCTTGCGCCTCATTGGACAGCTCCACGATGCGGGTTCCCAGGTCAACTATTCCATGGGTCCCATGACACCTGCCCTTGCAGGGACCTACAGATGCTTTGGTTCTGTCACTCACTTACCCTATGAGTTGTCGGCTCCCAGTGACCCTCTGGACATCGTGGTCGTAGGTGAGAGAATACAGACCTGCCTCTCACCCTTGCTGGGAGATGGAGTGAATGATCTAGGACTGGAAGCCCCAGGTGGTCATGAGGAAGATGAGTGTGGGGTTCCTATGGAGAGAAAGTGACTTGGTGAGGTCTGTACCAACAAAGGCAGAGAAACAGGAGACACAAGTACAGACCTCATGTCATAACATAGAAGCCAGACACAGGGGCCATACAAGGTGTTAGAAAAAGAGATAAAGAGGTAAAGAAGACACAGAGAGACAGATATATCCCAGAGAGAGGTGTCCTTCTATGCTGACTTTGTTCAGAGACCAGGCACAGGTTAGAAGGTTCCATTCTGTTTTACCTCTACAAAGTGTTCTCTCCCAGGAGAACCCAAAGAGACACATCTATCTGGCCTGAGTTGGGCCGTGTGGCCCCAGGCTGGTGGCACCTACAGATGCTGTGTTTATTCTTAAACCTCTGCCTTCCGTGCAGTGGAGCTGTCGTCGTCGCAGGACACCATGGCCCCAGGTGAGGGAGCAGAACACCAACCCCTGTATGTTGTGAGTTCCTGGAGTCCCCATACTGGATTCTGAGGCTCATATTCAAATAGCACCACATGTTATAGGATTACTGAGAACAAAAGCCCACAGAGAGACACGGAGTGAAATCAGGGAAATCAAAAAGCAAAGACATGAACACACACACAGAATGAGCCAGAAGAAGGGAATTGAGAGACTCACAGACACATAAAGAGATAGAAAAAGAGGGCAGAGAAGTGGAGCGTATGATGGAAGGAAGCAGAGAAAAGCCCTAAAATCAGAGCCCTGAGGGAGGGGCACAAAGACAGGGAAAGATAAAGATGTGGGGATGGATTGCAGAGACTCCAAAAGGGAACTAGAGAGACTGAGAGGCAGAGAAAGACAAGGAGATGGAGAGAGACAGATGATAGATGGATAGATAGATATAGATAGATGAAAGATAAAAGGTAGATGATAGATAATAGAGAGACAGGTGATAGACAAATAGATGATGAATGACTGATAGATGATATAGATAGACAAGTAGAAAGACAGACAGATGATATATAAATAGATATAGAGAGATAGAAAGATAAACACATGATGATAGATGGATAGATGCATACATACATACATTGATTGATAGATGATAGATAACAGAGAGATAGGTCATAGATACACAGATGATGATAGATGATAGATACATACATAGATAAATGATAGATCGATCAATAGATAGTAGATAGAAATATGCAGAAAGTTATGAGCAAGACAGAAAGTGAGAGACTCAGAATTAAAGAAAGAGGAAGATCAAGTCAACCAGTCCAAGGAGGGTCAGAGAGAATAAAATGGTACAAAAAAAGAAAACATAGCTAGGGATGGAGAAGTGAGGTCAGAGACCTAGAGAGACAGAGAAGGTGGAAGGAGGAAATAGACATGAAGAGAGATGGGGGTGGAGGGTGAGAGAGAGAAAGAGAGCATTAAGTCATAGAGCAGGGGAGTGAGTTCTCAGCTCAGGTGTGAGGAGAGCTGTGACAACGAAGAACCTCCCTGAGGAAACCACCTCTTCTCCTTCCAGGTCTATATGGGAAACCTTCTCTCTCAGCCCAGCCGGGCCCCACGGTTCAGGCAGGAGAGAATGTGACCTTGTCCTGCAGCTCCCGGAGCTTGTTTGACATTTACCATCTATCCAGGGAGGCAGAGGCCGGTGAACTTAGGCTCACTGCGGTGCTGAGGGTCAATGGAACATTCCAGGCCAACTTCCCTCTGGGCCCTGTGACCCACGGAGGGAACTACAGATGCTTCGGCTCTTTCCGTGCCCTGCCCCACGCGTGGTCAGACCCGAGTGACCCACTGCCCGTTTCTGTCACAGGTGAGAAAACACCATGCCTGTCCCATGTCTTGTGATCCTAGAGCCATAGCTGAGGAGCTTCCTGCTGATGATGGAGAGAAGCATGGACAGATGCCGAGACAGAACACACAGCATGGGTGTAAGGGCGGGGTCAGGGGGCAGGATGGCAGACAGGGCACCTCCAAACCCTCCTGTATGGCCTGCAAGGAGGCCCTTGATCAGGGTTCCAGGCACCCAGGCAGATGGAGAAAGAGGTCAGAACAGACCCAGAGGAGGGAGACTGGGCTCTGCCTGGGGAGATCAGAGGTTCTCTCAGCCCCTCAACCTTACCCACTTCCCAGAAGCCCATCCTGGCCTGTCACCCACAGAGAGATGTCATCACCAGCAACGCCTACACCCTTTTCTTTTTGTTTGAAGAAATATTTATTGAGGTGAAATATACCTATGTAATTTACCACCTTTACCATTTTTAAGTGTGAAGTCTACTGTTCATAAATACATTTATAGGCTGGGCACGGTGGCTCACTGTTGTAATCCCAACACTTTGAGAGGCCAAGGCAGGTGGATCATTTGAGATCAGGGGCTCAAGACCACCCTGGCCAACATGGGGAAAATCCATCTGTACTAAAAATACAAAATAATAATAATAATGATAATAATTAGCCGAGCATGGTGGCACATGCCTGTAGTCCCAGCTACTTGGGAGGGTTGGGCAGGAGTTGCACTTAATTGCAGGAGGCGGAGGTTGCAGTGAGCTGAGATCATGCCACTGCACTGCAGCCTGGGCAACAGAGAGAGACACTCTCTCAAAATTAATTAATTAATTAATTAGTATTCTTTTTTTTTTACCCTCCACCCTTCCCTTCCTGGCCTCTGGTAGCCACCATTCTACTCTCTACCTTTGTGAGATCCACCTTTTAGCTCCTGCATATGAGTGAGAAATGGAAATACTTGTAATGACCTCCAGTTCCATTCATGTGGCTGTAAATGACAGGATGTTACTCTTTCTATGGATGAGTTGTCCCTATTGTGTGTGTGTACCACATTCTCTCCATCCATTCACCCACTGATGGGCAGGTAGGTTGATCCACATCTTGGCTACTGTGAACACTGCTGGAACAGTCATGGGAGTGCAGATGTCACTTCGATACGCTGATGTCCTTTCCTTTGGGTTTACACCCAGTCATGGAATTGCTAGATCCTCTGGAAGTGTCTTTTTACATTTTGTTTTATGGTTTTTGTTTTTGTTTTTGTTTTTTTTAGACAGTTTCACTCTTGTTGCCCAGGCTGGAGTGCAGTGGTGCCATCTGGGCTCACTGCAACCTCCACCTCCAGGATTCAAGAGATTCCCCAGCCTCAGCCTCCCAAGTAGCTGGGTTACTGGCTCCCACCACCACACTCGGCTAATTTTTATATTTTTAGTAGAGACAGAGTTTCGCTATATTGGCCAGGCTGCTCTTCAACTCCTGACCTCAAGTGACCTACCCACCTCGGCCTCCCAATGTGCTGGGATTACAGGCATGAACCACTGTGCCCGACCTCATTTTATTTTTTGAGGAACTTCCATACTCTTCTCCTCTGTAATGGCTGTACTAATTTGCATTCGTATCAGCAGTGTACCAGATGCAACCCTGGTTGACTCAGCAGAGCAAGAGACGTGCAGTAAGAGAGAATTTAGCTTATTTATGCACACGACACTTCCACTCACTCACTCGTTCAGCCAATGCCCCATGCTCTGGCTGTGCAGTGTGGAATCTTTTCCTATTGTTGCCATAACAAATTTCCACAAGCTTCGTGGATGAAAACATGTTTTTCTTAATTATCTCACAGTGCTGTAACTCAGAAGTATGAACTGCATTTCACTGGGCTGATATCAAAGGGACAGTAAGGCTGGATTTCTTTTTAAGGTTCCAAGCAAGAATCTGCTCCTTAACGTTTCCCAGCTCCTAGAGGCTCCCACGTTCCTGGGCCCCTGGTCCCCTTCCTCCTTCCTCCTTCCTCAAAGCCCACAAAGGCTGGTCACGTCTCACATGGCATCATTCAGACTCTTCTTCTTTACCCATACCTTTTTCTCTGAATCCTGCTCTGCCTTCTTCCTCATCTTTTAAGGACTTTGGGATTCTATTGGGGTCACCAAGATAATCCATCTCAATCTCCCTAAAATCATCCAGCGTACCCTCTTTTTAAGTTCAGCTGATTAGCAACCGTAATGCCATCTGCAATCTTCATTCCTCCTTTCCTGTAAAATAACATATTCACAAGCTATGGAGGCTAAGACAGGGACATTTTGGGGGTGGGGCAGCATTCTCCTGCCTTCCACAAATGGTAAACAGGATGCATTTGGCCTCTGCTCTTGGGACGCTGATATTGCAGATGGGTAAATGCGAGGGCAGAGAATGAATGCACAAGGGTACCAATAAATGAATGATCCATTGGGAAGCATCTGTGCACCAAATCTGGGGTTTTTTGTGTGTGTGTGTGTTTTTTGTTTTCTTTTTTTTTTTTGAGTAGAGTCTCTCTCTGTTCCACAGGCTGGAGTGCAGTAGCACAATCTCAGCTCATTGCAACCTCTGCCTCCTGGGTTCATGCAATTCTCCTGCCTCAGCCTACCGAGTAGCTGGGATTACAGCTGTGCGCCACCACACTCGGCTAATTTTTTTGGTATATTTTTTAGTAGAAATGAGGTTTCACCATGTTGTGCAGGCTGTCTCAAACTCCCAATCTCAAGTGATCCCACCGCCTTAGCGTCCCTAAGTGCAAAGATTACAGGCGAGAGCTACTGCGCCCAGCCAGGATTTAAAATAAGTAATAGATAATGCTGAGTATATAATTTCAGGTGACAGAGAAGGTCTCACTGATCAGATAATATTTGTGACCTTAATGGAAAAAATGGATTCAACCCTTGGAAGATTGGCGGAAGGATTTTCCACACTGAGCTCTCAGCCGTGAAGGCACAAAGGTGGAAACATTCTTAGTTCAAGGAAGAGGCTCTGCCTCAAATGCTGGGAATGAGATGGGGAGAATGACAAGACAACTGTAGAGAGATGGAGAGCACACTGGGTACACAGGAAACTAAGGAGGAACAAGGAGCATGTTTTTGATACTCACAGCCCTTGGATTCAACTCAGAGCTAACTAGGAATCCCTACCTGATTAACAGTGACCGACATGAAAATAAGGGAGGCCCAGGTGCGTAACTGGAATCTAGGAGACCGTGGAAAAGGCAATTCCCGCCCCACTGGTGAAACGTAGGGTTGATTTACACACTAAATGAATGAAAGATGGATATAAGCTATGCTTGTGAGGTAGAATCATTTGCAGGGAGGGCTTGCTGGGTTTGATTTTTCCTAGTAGTTTAATCCTTGTTTCATTAATTTCTTTCTGAGATGTGTTTTTTTTCTACATCTAAATCAATACCTGGCAGAGGAGCGATAGACACATGAGGGGTGGTGCAAATGAAGGGACCTAGTATAATATAATATACAAGACTGTGGATGGGGGCTCACACCTGTAACCCAACACTTTGGGAGGCCAAGGCGGGTAGATCACTTAAGGGTAGGAGTTTGAGACCAGCCTGGCCAACATGGTGAAACCCCGTCTGTACTAAAAATACAAAAATTAGCCTGGTGCATTGGCACCTGCCTGTAATCCCAGCGACTGGGGAGGCTGAAGCAGAAGAATGGCTTCAACCCTGGAGGCAGAGGTTGAACTGAGATCGCATCACTGCACTCCAGCCTGACACAGGGGGACTCTGTCTCAAAAAATAAAAATAAAACATACATAATTATGACACACAGAAATTACAAAGGCAACTGGATACCAACCATCATTTTTCTATTTCTCTGTGTTTAATTCTTTGACCCTTTATCTTATCCATTAAACAATCAGGTTAAACCTCTTCCTTATTTGGCTTTCTGTGAGCTTGGGATCATATGGAAAATGTGAAAGCCTCCTGAACCCACCAGCACAGGTCCTGGAATAGAGAACGTGCTCTGTTCATGGCATAAAACTTGCCCCTTCACCCAAATCCCCCAATTCATCTCTACTTCCAATCACCTATGGAGATACAGATAGATCATGGGGAGGTAAACACTAATACTCTTTGGAGTGAGCTCAGATCTTGGACTCAGAGACCAGTGCCAGCACTAGCCCCTGGTCACATTTCGTACTAACTCACAGAAGGACAGGCTGTATTGAAACAATAAACGACGGAGAGGGCGGTCCTTCCCCGTGCTTCTCGGGTGGAATAGCAGCCTAATATATGTCTCAGCAGATCACAAAAAGTAGCATGTTGTTCCTGGGCTACATCATTATTTCATGGCTGTTTGATTTAAGTCAGTTCTACTTCACTTTTTTTATCTTGATTTCATTTTTTCTTTCTTTTCTTGGAGAATGTAATTTTTTTGAGTCAAGAGGGTTGTGGTGGTAGAAACTGTAAAGCACATTCGCTGTGTATCAATCCCAATCCAGTCTTCCCAGAGAAGATTCTAAACACCTCCTGGAATGCACCTGGGCCTATACCAATTCCTATCACTCACCGTCACTCCAGGGAGACAGAACACACAGAGAACACATTACACAGGCAGGTTCATTACTAACAGATAAGCAGCGAGTGACAACAGAAACCTACATTTCAATGTGAGCCAGTCCCTCAAGGCTCAGAAAAGCTGCTCGAGACATGTGGAGTCACCCCATATGCAGTGTATCTGGGGGAAATCAAAAAGCAGCCCAGCCTGGGTTTTGTACCCTGGAGCCACAGGAAGCACTCAGCTAAAGCACTGCATGACGTCCTCCTCCAGGAAGAACAGGAAGACAGCCCAGGCTGTTCTGGGATGTTCCTCCTGATCTCAGGACGTTGCTGTCTTAGTCCATTTTTGTTGCTCTAAAGGAACACTTGAGCCTGGGTAACTTCTAAAGACAAGAAATGTGTTTGCCTCACAGTTCTGCAGGCTGTACTGGAAGCATGGCACCAGCATCTATTTCTTGTGACGGCCTCAGGCTGCTCCCACTCTGGCAGAAGGGAAGGAGGGTCTGTCTGTGCAGAGACCACAGAGATCACACGGCAAGAGAGGGACCAAGGGGGAGGGGGAGCGATGGAGCTTCCAAGCTCTTTTAACAACCAGTTCTCCAGGAACTAATAGAGGGGGAACTTGCTAACCCCGTCTCCTTGGAACAGCATTGATCTGTTCATGATGGATCCACCTCCATGACCCAAACAACTCCCAAGAGGCCCAACCTCCCACTCTGGGGGTTACATTTCAATGTGAGGTTTGAAGGGGTCAAACATCTAAACTAAAGCAGTTGTATCCTCAGCACGTTCTATGGTTACTACAACTGAGAAAGCAGGAGGAAGCTAGGTCTCCCGCCATCTGGGTGCTTGTCCTAAAGAGACGTTGTATGTGGTTACCTGTCAATCAAGAAATGTGAGACAATTCATATAGAGGAACTGCTATGATTAGCTTCTTATTGGTGTCTTGTCTTCCTCCAGGTAACTCCAGAAACCTGCACGTTCTGATTGGGACCTCAGTGGTCATCATCCCCTTTGCTATCCTCCTCTTCTTTCTCCTTCATCGCTGGTGTGCCAACAAAAAGAGTAAGTCTCACGAAGCAGAAGCCAGAGAGCTCAGGGCCATGTGGGGAAGCAGGATGGGAGCACTCAGGTGTGTGTTCCTCACAGACTGGATGGTCCCTGGCCCAAGGCAGGAGCCACAGAGGCAGGACTTTCTAGAGAGAGCACCAGACTCCCTGCCTCTGCCTTCAGCTCACAGACCATTGCCTGATTCTGAACCGTATCCTCACATCCCCTGCAGCCACTCACATCCAGGAGAAGGTTCCATGACAGGCAGAAAGTGGGACACAGAATCAATAGGATGGGAACTCAGAGCTATACATGGGATGGATCCTTGAGCTCAGAGAGATAGAATGTCTGAGTCTGCTGTTGGCAACTGAGGGACCTCAGGCACCTATGGCCTCCCCCTGTATGTTGGTATCTGCTTATGAAATGAGGACCCAGAAGTGCCCTCCGAGCTGTTTTGACGACTTCCGTCTTCTACAGATGCTGTTGTAATGGACCAAGAGCCTGCAGGGAACAGAACAGTGAACAGGGAGGTAGGTGCTCCTCCGCCCAGCCTCGTGGCTAGTCTTATTCCCAAAGAGTCCTGGAAAATGTGAGCACCCTCCCTCACTCAGCATTTCCCTCCCTCCAGGACTCTGATGAACAAGACCCTCAGGAGGTGACATACGCACAGTTGAATCACTGCGTTTTCACACAGAGAAAAATCACTCGCCCTTCTCAGAGGCCCAAGACACCCCCAACAGAT
Source organism: Homo sapiens (assembly GCF_000001405.40). Classification (NCBI taxonomy): domain Eukaryota; kingdom Metazoa; phylum Chordata; class Mammalia; order Primates; family Hominidae; genus Homo; species Homo sapiens. The sequence continues at coordinate 37,672 of NW_016107308.1, forward strand.
ACCAGCGTGTAACACGGAACTTCCAAATGCTGAGCGCAGATCCAAAGTTGTCTTCTGTCCACTAGCACCACAGTCAGGCCTTGATGGGATCTTCTAGGGAGACAATAGCCCTGTCTCAAAACCGGGTTGCCAGCTCCCATGTACCAGCAGCTGGACTCTGAAGGCGTGAGTCTGCATCTTAGGGCATCGCTCTTCCTCACACCACGAATCTGAACATGCCTCTCTCTTGCTTACAAATGTCTAAGGTCCCCACTGCCTGCTGGAGAGAAAACACACTTGCTTAGCCCACAATTCTCCATTTCACTTGACCCCTGCCCACCTCTCCAACCTAACTGGCTTACTTCCTAGTCTACTTGAGGCTGCGATCACACTGAGGAACTCACAATTCCAAACATATAAGAGGCTCCCTCTTAACACGGCACTTAGATACGTGCTATTCCACCTTTCCTCAGAGTATCTTTCAGCCTTCTGTCAGCAGTAAAACTTATAAATTTTTTTTATAATTTCAATGTAGTTTTCTATTCTTCAAGTAAACATGTCTGCCCTCATGGTTTCTTCAATGGGACTCTTTTCTTGCCTAAGGCTTCCGGTGTTATCATTACCACGTCCACATAACCCCATCTGTTCTCCGCTGGGTTCTCAGCCCTGGACTCTGAGCTTCTGGAAGCATGGTGGAGCCTGAATTGTCTCTGAGACTCCAATTTCCATCCAAAGATGCAGCACATAGGAGGTTCCAAGGATGGTGAATCAGATGAACAAGTGATATTCTTACTCTCTGCAGATCTGGAAAGCTGGCAGAGTCATTCCACGATGAAACATTTGTAGAGTCATAGGCCTTGTTAGTCTCATCTCCACAGGGACACGTATCAACACATCATCTTTCATACTACTATAAATAGACAGTCACTCCTCCATATCTCTGGGGTTTACACATGTTTATTGAATCAGCAATAAATCAAAAATATTTTGAGAAAAAAAATCCCCGAAGTTTCAAAAAGCAAAAAACTATGTTGAATCGACACAAATTGAGTGGCGTGTAGGCTGTGTCAGGAATTATAAGTAATCAAGAGATGATTTCATGTATACAGGAGGATGTGCATGGGTTCTATGCAATTGCTATGCTATTTTTTTTTTTTTTTTGAGACAGTCTCACTCTCTCACCCAGGCTGGAGTGCAGTGGCGTGATCTCAACTCACTGCAACCTCCGCCTTCCAGGTTCAAGCGATTCTCTTCCCTCAGCCTCCCCAGTAGCCTCCCCTAGGATTACAGGCACGTGCCACCATGCACAGATAAATTTTTTTGTGTGTATATTTTTAGTAGAGATGGGGTTTCAGAATGTTGGACCAGCTGGTCTTGAACTCCTGACCTTGTGATCTACCCAGCTCAGCCTCCCAAAGTGCTGGGATTACAGGCGTGAGCCACGGTGCCCAGCTTCACTATGCCATTTCATGCAAGGGGCTTGAGCATCTGCAGATTTTGGTATCTGAATGGGGATCCTGGAACCAATCACCCAGGTATAGTGAAGGACCATGGTATATAATTTTTATTTGTCAATCTTAAAAATAAAGCATAAAAAATTTACAACAACAAGATAAAAAATAAGAAGTGTTTTTATAGTGTGAGGATAAGTTTAGATTTATTTTTTCCTACGTGTAACCCTATGGTCCTGTGTTATTTGTTGAGAAAATATTCTATTCCACCTTAAACTACATGGCAGCCTTTGTCAACTATAAAGGGACTGTGTATCCACAGATGTATTTTAGACACAGTTTTCTGTCCAGTGGTTCTCTGTATCCCCTCTCATGAGGATGCTGCATTTTATATAAACTTATAGAACCCCTTAAAATTTGGTAACCTGAGTCCTCTGATTTGTTATTATAGGTTATTTAGTTTGCTTTTTTTTTTTTTCTTGAGACAGACTCTTCCTCTGTCACCCAAGCTGGAGTTCAGTGGCTTGAGCTCAGCTCACTGCAACCTCCGTCTCCCAGGTTCAAGCTATTCTGATGCCTCTGGTTTAGTAGTAGAAACTCAAGCAGGAAAATTAGAATGGCTTCTTGTCACAATTACTCTGATAATGTTAATAATACCTGTTAGACATTTTGCACATTACATATGAAGAAGAGTTTGAATCTCAGATAAAAACAAAAATACATCAAAAATCTTTAATGTAAGCACAGAATTCAATCATCTCGTGTATGAGAGGTTGGATCTGAGACGTCTTTTGAGTCTGGTCGTAGTGAAGGACGCAAGGTGTCAATTCTAGTGAGAACAATTTCCAGGAAGCCATGTTCCGCTCTTGAGCGAGCACCCACTGGGCCTCATGCAAGGTAGAAAGAGCCTGCGTACGTCACCCTCCCATGATGTGGTCAACATGTAAACTGCATGGGCAGGGCGCCAAATAACATCCTGTGCGCTGCTGAGCTGAGCTGGGGCGCGGCCGCCTGTCTGCACAGACAGCACCATGTCGCTCATGGTCGTCAGCATGGTGTGTGTTGGTGAGTCCTGGAAGGGCATCGAGGGAGGGAGTGCGGGGATGGAGATCGGGGCCCAGAGTTGGAGATATAGGCCTGGAAGTGGAGTTATGGGCCTAGAGATGGAGTGATGGGCCTAGAAGTGGAGATCTGGGCCTGGAGTGGAGATCTGGGCCTGGAGTGGAGATATGGGCCTGGAGGTTGAGATATGGGCCTGCAGTAGAGATATGGGCTTGTAGTGGAGACATGGGCCTGGAGATGGAGATATGGGCCTGGAGATGGAGATATGGGCCTGCAGTAGAGATAGGGGCCTGGAGTGGAGATATGGGCCTGGAGTGGAGATATGGGCCTGGAGTGGAGATATGGGCCTGGAGGTGGAGATATGGGCCTGGAGGTGGAGATATGGGCCTGGAGTGGAGATATGGGTCTGGAGGTGGAGATACGGGCCTGCAGTAGAGATATGGGCCTGGAGTGGAGATATGGGCCAGGAGTGGAGTTATGGGCCTAGAGGTGGATATCTGGGCCTGGAGTGGAGATATGGGCCTAGGAAGGAGATATGGGCCTGGGTGTGGAGATATGGGACTGGAGAGGTGATATGGGCCTGGAGTGGAGATATGGGCTTAGGGTGGAGATCTGGGCCTGGGGCGGAGATATGGGACTGGATTGGAGATAGGGGCCTAGGGTGGAGATCTGAGCCTGGATTGGCGATATGGGCCTAGGGTGGAAATATCAGCCTGGAGTGGAGATATGGGCTTGGGGTGGGGATATGGGCCTGGAAACTGGGTCTCTGCACAGCCGACAGCCCTGTTCTTGGGTGCAGGTAGGCACTGAGGGTGAGTTTAACTTCAGCCCAGGAAGGGCCTGGCTGCCAAGACTCACAGCCCAGTGGGGGCAGCAAGGGAGGCCTGGTTTGCCTGCAGATGGATGGTCCATCATGATCTTTCTTTCCAGGGTTCTTCTTGCTGCAGGGGGCCTGGCCACATGAGGGTGAGTCCTTCTCCAAACCTTCGGGTGTCATCTCCCCACATAAGAGGATTTTCCTGAAACAGGAGGGAAGTCCTGTCGGGGAGTCTCTCATAAACTAGGAAGAGAGGACCCTGGGGTGCTCAGCCCACATTTCTGACCTCGCCTCCCTGGCCTCTCAACCCCTTGGCAGAGTCAAGTTCTGTGGGGACCAGGGTTAGACTGGGGTGCTCAAAGCTGGGGTGTGTGGTTGGGAAGTGGTAGGAACAGCAGATCCTCTGAGGACAAAGGTGTTACTCACACACTTCAGCGTTTCCATGATGGTAGGGGCTGCAGTGTGGCTGCTGTCATTCTACCAGAAGAGGTGGGAAACCACAGCCATGGCCCTGACATTCCAAATCCTCTGATGGGGGCTCAGTTGTTTATTTTCGTTCAGGCATCCGCTGATATCCATTCACAAAGGACATGCCCTCCACCTCATGTCTACCCTGTGTTGTTTTATGTGAGTAATCTTACAGTATTAAAATCTAGTAGGAGTCTCTTTACTCAGCACTTGCTCAAAGTTCTCAGCTGAGGCTTTTGTTGTAGGGAGACACCATGTCTTTGCGGGATGGGTCCTTCCTTCAGCCCTGGGCACCAAGGTGTGATAGTAGCCATAGAAACGTGGAAAGCGAGGAGAATCTTCTGAGCACAGGGAGGGAAGGGCAGTTCCACATCCTCCTCTCTAAGGCGGCGCCTCCTTCTCCCCAAGGTGGTCAGGACAAGCCCTTGCTGTCTGCCTGGCCCAGCCTTGTGGTGCCTCTAGGACATGTCATTCTTCGGTGTCACTCTTATCTTGGGTTTAACAACTTCAGTCTGTAAAAGGAAGGTGGGGTGCCTGTCCCTGAGCTCTACAACAGAATATTCTGGAACAGCCTTTTCATGGGCCCTGTGACCCCCGCACACACAGGGACATACAGATGTCGGGGTTCACACACACACTCCCCCAGTGGGTGGTCAGCACCCAGCAACCCCCTGGTGATCGTGGTCATAGGTCAGAGGGCTCCTGTCTTGGATTCTCCTTGTCCCACCTCCTGAATCCCAGAGCTTCTGTTGGGCATGTCCTTGAGGGTCCCATCACGCAGGCCCTGACTGTATTTGTGGTAAAGGGGGATTGAATACAGGGAAATGGGTGCTGTGGTGGGAAGAATAATTGTCCCCAGTGATGACTACATTCTAATCCCTGGAGTCTGTGACTATTTATGTTATAGGGGAAGGGACTGAAGGGGAAGATGGAGCTCATGGGGAGACAGCCTGGACTGTCCCACTGGGCTCAGTGTAATCACAAGGGTGCACATGAAAGGAGGAGGAAGAGGGGAGTGGGGATTAGAGCAGTCCAGTGGAAGTCTTCACCAGCTTTGAAGGTGGAGGAAGGCCAAGATCCATGAATGCAGGTGGCCTATAGAGGCTGGAAAAGTCAAGGAACTGATTCTCCAGAGTCTCCAGAGGGAACAAAGCCCTGCAGATGCCTTGATTTTAGCCCAGGAAAAATAGGGTCCAATTTCTGTCTCCAGTACTGGAAGGTGTCAGTGTGGTCTCTCCTGCTGCCATGCTTCTGATAATTTTCTACAGCAGCAACAGGAAACCAACACTGGAACCCAGGTCAAGGACAAGTTAAGAAACAACCCAAGGAAAGCCAGGCATGGTGGCAGGTGCATGTAATCCTAGCGACTCAGGAGGCTGAGGGCAGGAGAATCACTTGAACCCAGGAGACAGAGGTTGCAGTGAGCCTAGACCACACCACTTCACTCCAGCCTGGGTGAAGGAGTGAGACTCTGTCTCCATAATTAATTAATTAATTAAAGAAACCAAACAAGGAGAAGGTTGGCTACCCTGAGATCAGCAAGGGTGGGATGATGATGCCACCACCAGGCTCCATCCACATAGGGAGGGGTTGATACTCCTCCAACCAGCACCAGGAGCCAGCCTATGGAAGCTGGCACCATGGAGAAGGCACAGGCATGGCAAGAGTGGCTCCCAGTCCCCACCAGGAACAGGGTGTGTGGACACTGGTGCCTGCCTTATTCATCAGTTCATACCTTCTGCCAAGGATTGCAATTCATCCAAAAGAGATTGAACCAGGCTGATAAGAGCCTGGATGTGCAGCCTATCCTGGTTCCTCTTTCACCCCCACATAAACAGCAGGAAATACATTAGTGTGAAATAGATACAACACCCCAAGAGATGAGGCTCAGCCCAGTGGGAAGGGAATCAGAGGCTACTAGAGACAGAGGGACAGAGAAGAGGGAGGGAGACAGATGGAAGGACCTGCACCAGGAGTTAAGGGCACAGAAAAGAACATGAAGACACAGAGAGGAAGGAGAGAGACAGACACCAGCAAGGGGAAGCCTCACTCATTCTAGGTGCCATGGATGGGATGATAAAGAGAGACACCTTCTAAACTCACAACCTCTCTTCCTAGGAGTCCACAGAAAACCTTCCCTCCTGGCCCACCCAGGTCCCCTGGTGAAATCAGAAGAGACAGTCATCCTGCAATGTTGGTCAGATGTCAGGTTTCAGCACTTCCTTCTGCACAGAGAAGGGAAGTTTAAGGACACTTTGCACCTCATTGGAGAGCACCATGATGGGGTCTCCAAGGCCAACTTCTCCATCGGTCCCATGATGCAAGACCTTGCAGGGACCTACAGATGCTACGGTTCTGTTACTCACTCCCCCTATCAGTTGTCAGCTCCCAGTGACCCTCTGGACATCGTCATCACAGGTGAGAGTGTCCGGACATTCTCATTGTCATTGGGATGCAGAGTGAATGATCCACGACTTGGAACCCCCAGGTAGTTGTAAGGAAGATGAGCTTGGTATTCTTATGGAGAGAGACTGACTTGCTGAGGTTTGTACCAACAGAGACAGAGAAACAGGAGACACAAGTACAGACCAGGTGTCATAACAGAGGACAGACACAGGGGCCATACAGGGAGTTAGAAAAGACAGAAAGAGTTAAAAGAGACAGACAGACAGACATGTCCCAGAGAGAGGTGTCCCTCCATGCTGACTTTGCTCACAGACCTGGCACAGGTTAGAAGTTTCATTTCTGTTTTACCTCCACAAAGTGTTCTCTACCAGGAGAACCCAAGGACACCCATATTTATGACCTGAGTTGGGCCCTGTGGCCTCAGGCCTTGTGGCACCTACAGGCCATGTTTATTCTGACACCTCTGCCTTCCATGTAATGGAGAGTAATCGTCCCAGGATATCATGGCCCCAGAACACCAACCCCTGTATGCTGTGTGAACTTGTGGTCTCCAGACTGGATTCTGTGGCTCACATTCCAAATAACCCCACATATGAAAGGATCACTGAGAGGCACAGAGAAAAATCAGGAACACCAAAAAGCAAAGACATAAACACACAGAGAATGAGCCAGAGGAAGGAGATTGAGAGACTCACAGACACATAAAGAGAGAGAAAAGAGGGCAGAGGAGTGGTGAGAATGATGGCAGGGAGCAGAGAAAAGCACTAAAATTAGAGTCCTGAGAGAGAGGCACAAGGACATAGAAACATGGAGATGTGGGGATGAATTGCAGAGATTCCAAAGAGAACTAGAGAGACCGAGAGGCAGAGCAAGACAGATGATAGATGGATAGATATAGATAGATGATAAATAGGTAGATGATAGATAATAGGTTAAAGATACATAGATGATGATTGATTGATTCATTAATAGATAATACATAGAGATGATGATGATGAAGACAGATAATACGTACAGATAGAGAGGCAGACAGAAATCATAGAGAGAGAGATGATACATACATATAAATAACAGATGATTGATGGATAGATAGACAAGTGATAGATACATAGATGATATATAGATATAGATGACAGGTAGAGAATTTGTAGATAGGCACCGAATAGATAAATAGATAGATCGACAGATAATAGATAGAAATATGCAGAAAGTTATGAACAGGACACAACGTGAGAAACTTAGAATTTAAAAAAGTAACATCAAGTCAACCAATCCAAGGAGAGTCAGAGAGAATAAAAGAATCCAAAAAGGGAAAACATATCTAGAGGTGGGGAAGCGAGGTCAGAGACCTAGAGAGACAGAGAAGGTGGAAGAAGGAAATAGACATGAAGAGAGATGGGGTGGAGGGTGAGAGAGAGAGAGAGAGAGAGCATTAGGTCATAGAGCAGGGGAGTGAGTTCTCAGCTCAGGTGAAGGGAGCTGTGACAAGGAAGATCCTCCGTAAGGAAAATGCCTCTTCTCCTCCAGGTCTATATGAGAAACCTTCTCTCTCAGCCCAGCCGGGCCCCACGGTTCTGGCAGGAGAGAGCGTGACCTTGTCCTGCAGCTCCCGGAGCTCCTATGACATGTACCATCTATCCAGGGAGGGGGAGGCCCATGAACGTAGGTTCTCTGCAGGGCCCAAGGTCAACGGAACATTCCAGGCCGACTTTCCTCTGGGCCCTGCCACCCACGGAGGAACCTACAGATGCTTCGGCTCTTTCCGTGACTCTCCATACGAGTGGTCAAACTCGAGTGACCCACTGCTTGTTTCTGTCACAGGTGAGGAAACCCCATATCTGTCTCATGTCCTATGATCCTAGAGCCTTAGCTGAGGAGCTTCCTGCTGATGATGGAGAGAAGCATGGACAGATGCAGAGAGAAGACGAAGCTTGGGTGTGAGGGAGGGATCAGGGCACAGGATGGCAGACAGGGCACCTCCAAACCCTCCTACACGGCCTGCATGAAGGCCCGCGGCCAGGGCTCCAGGCACACAGGCAGATGGAGAAAACGGTCAGGAGAGACCCAGAGGAGAGAGACTGGGCTCAGTTTGGGAAGATCAGAGGTTCCCTCAGCCCCTCAACATTACCCATTTCCCAGAAGCCCATCCTGGCCTCTCACCCACACAGGGATGTCATCACCAGCAACCCCTACACCCTTTACTTTTGTTTGAAGAAATATTTATTGAGGATAAATATACCTATATAGCTTACCACCTTTAACATTTTTTTTTTTTTTGAGGCAGAGTCTAGCTCTGTCCCCTATGCTGGAGTGCAGTGGCACAATCTCAGCTCACTGCAACTTCCGCCTCCTGGGTTCAAGTGATTCTCCTGCTTCAGCCACCTGAGTAGCTGGTGCTACAGGCGCGCACCACCACGCCAGGCTACTTTTTGTATTTTTAGTAGAGAGGGGGTTTCACCATGTTGGTCGAGCTGGTCTCCAACTCCTGACCACGTGATCCACCCGCATCTGCCTCCCAAAGTGCTGGGATTACAGGCATGAGCCACCACGCCCAGCCACATTTACCATTTTTAAGTGTAAAGTCTAGTGGTCATAAATACATTTATATATATATATATATATATATATATACACACACACACACATATATAAACATATATATATATATATATATATATATATATATATATATTTTTTTTTTTTTTTTTTTTACCCTCCACCCTTTTATTCCTGGCCTCTGGAAGCCACCATTCTACTCTCTACCTTCATGAGATCCACCTTTTAGCTCTGTATATGGGTGAGAAATGGGAATCTTTGTAATGACTTCCAGTTCCATCCATGTGGCTGCAAATATCAGGATGTTATTCTTTCTATGGATGAGTAGTCTCCACTGTGCGTATGTACTACATTCTCTCTATCCATTCATCCACTGATGGGCAGGTAGGTTGACTCCACATCTTGGCTACTGTGAACAGTGCTGCACCAATCATACGAGTGCAGATATCACTTCGATATATTGATTTACTTTCCTTTGGATATAAACCCAGTAGTGAAATTGCTGGATACTATGAAAGTTCTCTTTTTAGTTATTCGTTTGTTGTTTTGTTTTTGTTTTTGAGACAGTTTCCCTCTGTGCCCAGGCTGGAGTACAAGTGAAGTCATCTTGGCTCATTGCAACCTCCGCCTCCTGGGTTCAAATGATTTTCCTGCCTCAGCCTCCCTAGTAGCTGGGATTACAGGTGCACGCCACCATGCCTGGCTACTTTTTGTTTTTTTTAGTATAGATGGGGTTTCCCCATGTTGGCTGGGCTGCTCTCAAACTCATGACCTCAACTGAGGTGCCCGCCTCGGTCTCCCAAAGTGCCGGGATTACAGGCATGATCCACCTCACCCAACCTCTTTTTAGTTCTTTAAAGGACTTCCACACTTTTCTCCGTAAAGGCTGTACTAATTTACACTCCTACCAACAGGGTATTAGGGTTCTCCTTTCTCTACCACTTTGGCAGGATTTCCTTTGCCTGTCTTGCAGCTAAAAGCCATTTTATTTTATTTCATTTTATTTTGAGATGGAGTTTCGCTCTTGTCACCCAGGCTGGAGTGCAGTGGTGCGATCTCGGCTCACCACAACCTCCACCTCCCAGGTTCAAGCGATTCTCCTGCCTCAGCCTCCCGAGTAGCTGGAATTACAGGCACACGCCACCACGCCCAACTAAATTTTGTATTTTTAGTAGAGACAGTGTTTCTTCATGTGGGTCAGACTGGTCTCAAACTCCCGACCTTATGAGGTTCACCCACCTCAGGCTCTCAAAGGTCTAGGATGACAGACGTGAGCCACCACGCCCGGCCTAAAATCCATTTTAATGGGGTGAGATGAAAACTCACTTTGATTTTAATTTGTGTTTCTCTGATGATGAGTGAAACTGAGCACTTTTTAGTATGTGGGGAAATTTCATGTGTTTTGCTCCTTTTTCAATTAAATCGTTTGTTTTATTGAGTTGTTTGAGCTTCTTATATTTCTAGTTATTAATCCCATCTCAGATGCATAGTTTGCACATATTTGCTCCCAATCTGTGGGTTGTCTCTTCACTTTGTTGGTTTATTTTTAGCGGTGCAGAAGTTGCTTAGTTTGAGGTAATCCCAATGGTCTATTTTTGCTTCGATTACTTGTGTTTTGAAGGTTTAAAACAAAATGTCTTCCTTCAGACAAATGTCCTAGAGCATTTCCCCAATATTTTCTTCTACGTGTTTCATAGGTTCAGGCCTTAGACTCACATCTTTAATCCATTTTCATTTGAGTTTTGTGTATAGTGACAGGTAGAGGTGCAGTTTCATTCCTCTGCATGTAGATGTCCAGGTTTCCCTGCACTGTTTATTGAAAAGACTGTCCTTTCCTGATTGTGAGTTCTTGGCACCTTTGTCAAAGTCCATTGGATGGGCTGGGCATGGTGGCTGACACCTGCAATTTCAGCACTTTGGGAGCCCAAGGCGGGTGGATCACCTGAGGCCAGGAGTTCAAGATTAGTCTGGCCGACGTGATGAAACATTGTCTCCACTAAAAATATAAAAATTAGCTGAGCATGGTGGTCAGCACCTGTAATACCACTACTCAGGAGTTTGAGGCCAGAGAATTGATTGAACCCAGGAGGCTGTGGTGGCAGTGAACCGAGATTGCACCTCTGCACTCCAGCCTGGGTGACAGAGCGAGACTCCATCTCAAAAGAAAAAAGAAAAAAACATTGGAGGTAAATGCATGGATTATATCTGTGTTCTTCATTCTGCTCCATTGTTCTACGTGCCTTTCTTTATGCCAATGTGATGCTGTTTTGCTTACTACAGCTCTGTAACATATTTTGAGATCAGGTAGTGTGATGCTCCTGTTTTCTCTTTATACCTTGAAGTCTCAAGACAGTGGGCGTCACATACAAAAATTACGGAAAAAAGGATCCCAGGACTCCCAGGGCCCAATATTAGATAACAGAGTGTTGGCCATGAACCAACCTCAAAGATTTCCATTGAGTAGAGGACAGACACCCTCATTTCCTCACCTCTCTCCTGTCTCGTGTTCTAGGAAACCCTTCAAATAGTTGGCCTTCACCCACTGAACCAAGCTCCGAAACCGGTGAGTACAGAACCCTCTTATATCCGCTTTTGGAAACCTGGGGAGGTAGAAACCTTCGATGCAGGCATTGACTCAGCATCTCGCAGCTCTGACATTGTACGCCTGTCTTCTACCATCTCCGAACTCCAGATACTCCAACAGCGAAAGGGATCTGGGCCCAACCTAGGGCTCAGTGAAATCTCTTAATCTCTCATTTTATGGAGCTGAGACCTCCTACAAGCTAGAAGAATGATTGCCAATCTGACATCCTTCTCAGGAAAAATGCAATGTTTGTTCTGCCTGCATTCCTAACTGGAGGATAAATTCCTGGGGGCTTGAGAGAGGGAAGGGAAGGGAACATCTGATGAGGGCGAGGTGTTTTAGAGAAGTTCCACTTGCCAAGGAATGAATTACTGTTGGTCATGAAGCAACCCTGGCTGACTCAGCAGAGCAACAGCCTTGCCGTAACAGAGAACGGAGCTCATGCACGCACACTTCGACTCACTGACTCATTCAGCCACGGCCCCATGCTCAGGCTGTGCAGTGCGGAACCTTTTCCTATTGTTGCCATAACAAATTTCCACAAGATTCGTGGGTGAAAACAAAACGGTTTTTTAATTATCTTACAGTGCTGTAGCTCAAAGTAGGAAGTGCATCTTACTGGGCTAAAATCAAGGTGACAGCAAGGCTGCCTTCCCTCTGAGGATTCCAGGCAAGAATCTGCTTCTCACTTATCCCAGCTTCTAAAGGCTCCCAGTTCCTTGGCTCCTGTTCCCCTTCCTCCTTCCTCAAAGCCCACAAAGACTGGTCACATCTCACATGGCATCACTCAGTGCCTTCTTCCTTACCACACCTCTTTCTCTGAATGCTGCTCTCCCTTCTTCCTTATCTTTTGAAAACTTGGGGATTCTATTGGGTTCACCAAGATGAAAATCCCTCATAATCTCCTGGAAATCATCCAGGATACCCTTGTTTTAAGTTCAGCTGATTAGCAACCGCAATTCCATCTACAATCTTCATTCCTCCTTTCCATGTAAAATAACATATTCACAAGCTATGGAGGCTAGGACAGGGACATTTTGGGGTGGGACAGCATTCTCCTGCCTTCCACAAACGGTGAACAAGATGCATTTGGCTTCTGCCCTTGGGACACTGATATTGCAGATGGTTAAATGGGAGGGCAGAAAATGAATGCACAAGTGGATCTATAAATGAATGATCCATTGGGAAGCATCTGTGCATGAAATCTATTTTTTGTTTGTTCTTTTGTTTATTGAGACAGAGTCGCCCTCTGTCTTCCAGGCTACAGTGCAGTGTCACGATCTTGGCTCACTGCAACCTGCGTCTCCTGGATTCAAGTGATTCTCCTGCCTCCGCCTCTCGAGTAGCTGGGATTACAGGCAACTGCCACCGTGCCCGGCTAATTCTTTTTGTATATTTTTTGTAGAGAGGATGTTTCACCACGTTGGCCAAGCTTGTCTGAAACTCCCAACCTCAAGTGATCCGACCGTCTCAGCATGCCAAAGTAATGGGACTACAGGCGTGAGCCACTGTGCCCAGCCAGAATTCAAAATCAATAATAGATAATGCTGAGTGTATGATTTCAGGTGACAAAGAAGGTCTCACTATTCAGATATTTGTGACATTAATGAAAAACACGGATTGAACCCCTGAAAGATTGGCGGAAGGATTTTGCACACACAGCTGTCAGCCGTGAAGGCACAAAGGTGAAAACAATCTGATGTGGAAGGAAGAGGCTCTGCCTCAAATGCTGGGAATGATGTGGGGAGAATGACAAGACGACTGTAGAGAGACGGAGAGCACACTGGGTACACAGGAAACTAAGGAGCAACAAGGAGTGTGTGTTTGACACTCACAGCCATTGGATTCACCTCGGGGTAACCAGGAATCCCTACATGATTAATATGACTGACATGAAAATAAGGGAGGCTCAGTTGCATAACTGGAATCTAGGAGACCGTGGAAAAGGCAATTGCCACCCCACTGGTGAAATGTGGTGCTGATTTAGACACTAAATGAATGAAGTAGATGGATATAAGATATGTTTGTGAGGTAGAATCATTGACTGGAAACGCTTACTGGGTTTGATTTTCCTACTTGTTTAATCCTCGCTTAATTAATTTCTTTCTGAGATTTATTCATCCTACACATAAATCAATACCTGGCAAAGGAGTGACAGATATATGAGTGGTGGTGGAAATGAAGAGACTTATTATAGCATAATATACAAGTCTGTGAACAGTGGCTCACGCCTGTAACCTAGCACTGCAGGAGGCCAAGGTGGGTGGATTCCATGAAGTCAGGAGTTCCAGACCAGCCTGGCCAACGTGGTGAAACCCTATCTCTACTAAAAATACAAAAATTAGCCGAGCACGATGGTGCATCCCTGTAATCCCAGCTCCTATTCTGGAGGATGAAGCAGGAGAATGACTTCAACCCAGTAGGTGGAGGTTGCAGTGAGTGGAGATTGCATCACTGCACTCCAGCCTGGGGGACACAAGGAGACTCTATCTCAAAAAATAAAAATAAGAAATACATAAATATAATAAAACACACACGAATGACAAAGGCACCTGAATTCCAATCATCGTTTTTCTATTTCTCTATAATTACTTCTTTGATCCGTTATCTTATCCATTAGGCAATGAGCTTAAAACCTCTTCCCTATTTGGCTTTCTGTGAGAATGAGATCACATAGAAAATGTGAAAGCCCTCAGAATCCTCCAGCACAGATCGTGGAATAGAGAAAGTGCTCTGTTCATCGCAACAAAAAACTTGCCCACTCACCCAAATCCCCCACCTCACCCCTACTTCCAATCACCTGTGGAGATTCAGATAGGCTATGGGGAGGTAAACATTGATACTCCTTGGAGTGAGTCCAGATCTTGGAATCAGAGATCAGTGCCAGCACTAGCTCCTGCTCCCCTTTCCTACTAATTCACAGGAGGACAGGTGGTATTGAAGCAATAGATGGCCGAGGGGGTGGTCCTTCCCCCAGCCTCTCGGGTAGAACAGCAGCCTAACATGTGTCTCCCGAGATCACAAAGAGTAGCACGTTTCACACGGGCTTCAACACTATTTCCTGGCCATTTGACATAAGAGAATTCTACTTAGCTTTTTTTATCTTGATTTCACTTTTGTTTCCTTTTCTTGGAGAATGCAAGTTGTTTGATTCAAGAATGCTGTGGATGTAGAAATCCTAAAGCACATTCGCTGTGTATCAATCCCAGTGCAGTCTTCCCAGAGAAGACTCTAAATACCTCCTGGACTGCACCTGGGCTTATGCCAATTCCTATCACTCACCGTCACTCCAGGGAGACAGAACACACAGAGAATACATTACACAGGCAGGTTCATTACTAACAGATAAGCAGCGAGTGACAACAGAAACCTACATTTCAATGTGAGCCAGTCCCTCAAGGCTCAGAAAAGCTACTCGGGACATATGGAGTCACCCCATTTGCAGTGTAGCTGGGGGAAGCCAGAGAGCAGCCCAGCCTGGGTTTTGTACTGTGGAGCCACAGGAAGCACTCAGCTAAAGCACTGCATGACGTCCTCCTCCAGGAAGAACAGGAAGACAGCCCAGGCTGTTCTGAGACGTTCCTCCTGATCTCAGGACGTTGCTGTCTTAGTCCATTTTTGTTGCTCTAAAGGAACACTTGAGCCTGGGTAACTTCTAGAGAAAAGAGATTGGTTTGCCTCACAGTTCTGCAGGCTGTACTGGAAGCGTGGCACCAGCATCTATTTCTCGTGACGGCCTCAGGCTGCTCCCACTCTGGCAGAAGGGAAGGAGGGTCTGTCTGTGCAGAGACCACAGAGATCACACGGCAAGAGAGGGAGCAAGGGGGAGGGGGAGCGATGGAGCTTCCAAGCTCTTTTGAACAACCAGCTCTCCAGGAACTAATAGAAGGGGAACTTGCTAACCCCGTCTCCTTGGGACAGCATTGGTCTGTTCATGATGGATCCACCTCCATGACCCAAACACCTCTCAAGAGGCCCAACCTCCCACAGTGGGGGTGAAATTTCAATGTGAGGTTTGAAGGGGTCAAACATCTCAACTAAAGTAGTTGTATCCTCAACACGTTCTATGGTTACTATGAGAGCTATAACTGAGAAAGCAGGAGAAAGCTGGGTCTCCCTCCATCTGGGTGCTTGTCCTAAAGGGGTGTTGTATGTGGTTACCTGTCAATCAAGAAATGTGAGACAATTCATAAAGAGGAACTGCTATGATTAGCTTCTTATTGGTGTCTCCTCTTCTTCCAGGTAACCCCAGACACCTGCATGTTCTGATTGGGACCTCAGTGGTCATCATCCTCTTCATCCTCCTCCTCTTCTTTCTCCTTCATCGCTGGTGCTGCAACAAAAAAAGTAAGTCTCACGAAGCAGAGGCCAGAGAGCTCAGGGCCATGTGGGGAAGCAGGATGGGAGCACTCAGGTGTGTGTTCCTCACAGACAGGATGGTCCCTGGCCCAAGGCAGCAGCCACAGAGGGAGGACTTTCTAGAGAGAGCACCAGACTCCCTGTCCCTGCCTTCAGCTCACAGACCATTGCCTGATTCTGAACTGTATCCTCATGTCCCCTGCAGCCACTCACATCCAGGAGAAGGTTCCATGACAGGCAGAAAGTGGGAGACAGAATCAATGGGATGGGAACTCAGAGCTATTCATGGGATGGGTCCTTGAGCTCAGAGAGATAGAATGTCTGAGTCTGCTGTTGGCAACTGAGGGACCTCAGGCTCCTATGGTCTCCCCCTGTATGTTGGTATCTGCTTATGAAATGAGGGCCCAGAAGTGCCCTCTGAGCTGTTTTGTTGACTTCCGTCTTCTACAGATGCTGTTGTAATGGACCAAGAGCCTGCAGGGAACAGAACAGTGAACAGGGAGGTAGGTGCTCCTCGGCCCAGCCTCGTGGCTAGTGTTATTCCCAAAGAGTCCTGGAAAATGTGAGCACCCTCCCTCACTCAGCATTTCCCTCTCTCCAGGACTCTGATGAACAAGACCCTCAGGAGGTGACATATGCACAGTTGAATCACTGCGTTTTCACACAGAGAAAAATCACTCGCCCTTCTCAGAGGCCCAAGACACCCCCAACAGATATCATCGTGTACACGGAACTTCCAAATGCTGAGCCCTGATCCAAAGTTGTCTCCTGCCCATGAGCACCACAGTCAGGCCTTGAGGGGATCTTCTAGGGAGACAACAGCCCTGTCTCAAAACTGGGTTGCCAGCTCCAATGTACCAGCAGCTGGAATCTGAAGGCGTGAGTCTGCATCTTAGGGCATCGCTCTTCCTCACACCACAAATCTGAACGTGCCTCTCCCTTGCTTACAAATGTCTAAGGTCCCCACTGCCTGCTGGAGAGAAAACACACTCCTTTGCTTAGCCCACAATTCTCCATTTCACTTGACCCCTGCCCACCTCTCCAACCTAACTGGCTTACTTCCTAGTCTACTTGAGGCTGCAATCACACTGAGGAACTCACAATTCCAAACATACAAGAGGCTCCCTCTTAACACGGCACTTAGACACGTGCTGTTCCACCTTCCCTCATGCTGTTCCACCTCCCCTCAGACTAGCTTTCAGCCTTCTGTCAGCAGTAAAACTTATATATTTTTTAAAATAATTTCAATGTAGTTTTCCCTCCTTCAAATAAACATGTCTGCCCTCATGGTTTAGGTAATGGGACTCTTTTCTTGCCTAAGGCTTCCGGTGTTATCAGTACCATGTCCATATAATCCCATCTGTTCTCCACCGGGTTCTCACCTCTGGACTCTGAGCTTCTGGAAGCAGTGTGGAGCCTCATTTGTCTCTGGGACTCCAATTTCCATCCAAAGATGCAGCACATAGGAGGTTCCAAGGATCGGGAATCACATGAACAAGTGACATTGTTACTCTCTGCAGACCTGGAAAGCTGGCAGAGTCATTCCACGATGAAACATTTGTAGAGTCATAGGCCTTGTTAGTCTCATCTCCATGGGGACACATATCAACACATCATCTTTCATACTATAAATATACGGTCACTCCTCCGTATCTGTGGGGTTTACAGGTCTTTATTGAACAAAGTATAAATCAAAAATATTCAGAGAAAATATCCACAGAGTTCCAAAACTCATAACTATGTTGAATGGACACAAATGAAGCTGTGTGTAGGCTGTATCAGGAATTATAAGTAATCAAGAGATGATTTCATGTATACAGGAGGATGTGCATATGTTATTTGCAAGCGCTGTGCCATTTCATATAAGAGGCTTGAGCATCTACAGATTTTGGTATCTGAGTGGAGATCTCGAAACCAATCACCCACGAATAGTGAAGGATGACCGTATATGACTTTTATTTCTCAAATTTAAATATAAATCAAAAAATGTACAACTAGATAAAAACTAAGAAGTGTTTTTATAGTGTGAGTTAGATTTATTTTTTACTAGGTGTAACCCATTGGTTTAATATTATTTATTGAGAAGACATTCTATGCCACCTTAAACCACACGGCAGCCTTTGTCAACTCTAAAGGGACTGTGTGTACATGGATGTATTTTAGACAGTTTCTGCTAAGGGGCTGTCTGTGTCCACACACTTGATGATGCTACACTTTATGTAGCCTTATAGAACCCTTTAAATTTAGTAGCCAGAGCCCTCTAATTTGTTATTATAGGCTATTTGCTTTTTTTTTTCTTGAGGCGGAGTCTTGCTCTGTCGCCCAGGCTGGACTGCAGTGACACAATCTCAGCTCACTGCAACCTCCGCCTCCCAGGTTCAAGCGATTCTCGTGCCTCAGCCTCTTGAGTAGCTGGCGTTACAGGTGCCTGCCACCAGGCATGGCTAATTTTTGGATTTTTAGCAGAGACACGGTTTCACTATGTTGGCCAGGCTGCTCTCAATCCCCTCATCTCAGTTGATCCGCCCACCTCGGCTTCCCGACGTGCTGGGGAAACTTGATTTTCTATAGCATTATGTTACTGGATATTTCTGTAAAATTTAAAATGAGGGAGGCAGAGAGACAGAGAGAGATCAAACTCCAGAGTTGGGACTCTGGAATCTTGGGTCATGAGACAAATTTTAGATTAAACTACAAAACTCCAGAATTTACAGGTGTGGTTTTTGCTGATAAAGTACAATTCTAAGATTGTAAATAATTGCATAATCCTTCCCTGGGAATTTAAATCATTTTAACTGGTTCTGCTGTAATACTAGAAATACAAGCATGAAAAATTCTAATGGTTTATTAGTCACAATGACTCTGAAAACCTTAATAATACCTATTAAATATTTTGCATATTACACATGAAGAAGAGTTTGAATCTCAGATAAAAACAATAAAAATACATGAAAAGTCTTTCACGTTAGCACAGATTTTAGGCATCTCGTGTTCAGGAGGTTGGATCTGAGACGTGTTTTGAGTTGGTCATAGTGAAGGACGCTAGGTGTAAATTCTAGTGAGAACAATTTCCAGGAAGCCGTGTTCCGCTCTTGAGCGAGCACCCACTGGGCCTCATGCAAGGTAGAATGAGCCTGCGTACGTCACCCTCCCATGATGTGGTCAACATGTAAACTGCATGGGCAGGGCGCCAAATAACATCCTGTGCGCTGCTGAGCTGAGCTGGGGCACGGCCGCCTGTCTGCACCGGCAGCACCATGTCGCTCACGGTCGTCAGCATGGCGTGTGTTGGTGAGTCCTGGAAGGGAATAGAGGAAGGGAGTGTGGGGTTGGAGATCTGGGCCCAGAGGTGGAGATATAGGCCTGGAGGTGGAGTTGTGGGCCTGGAGTGGAGATCTGGGCCTGGAGTGGATATATGGGCCTAGAGATGGAGTGATGGGCCTAGAAGTGGAGATCTGGGCCTGGAGTGCCGATAGGAACCTGGAGGGGAGATAGGAGCCTGGAGTGGAGATATGGGCCTGGAGGTGGAGTTATAGGCCTATAGTAGAGATATGGGCCTGGAGTGGAGATTTGGGCCAGGAGTGGAGATATGGGCCTAGAGGTGGATATCTGGGCCTAGAGTGGAAATATGGGCCTAGGATGGAGATATGGGCCTGGTTGTGGAGATATGGGACTGGAGAGGAGATATGGGCCTAGAGTGGAGATATGGGCTTGGGGTGGAGATCTGGGCCTGGGGTGGAGATATGGGCCTGGAGGTGGAGTTACGGGCCTTCAGTAGAGATATGGGCCTGGGGTGGAGATATGGGCTTGGGGTGGAGATCTGGGCCTGGAGTGGAGATATGGGCCTGGAGGTGGAGTTACTGGCCTTCAGTAGAGATATGGGCCTGGTGTGGAGATATGGGCCTGGATTGGAGATATGGGCCTAGGTTGGAGATCTGAGCCTGGAGTGGAGATATGGGCCTGGATTGGAGATATGGGCTTACAGTGGAGATCTTGGCCTGGATTGGCGATATGGGCCTGGATTGGCGATATGGGCCTATGATGGAAATATCGGCCTGGAGTGGAGATATGGGCCTGGAGTGGAGATACAGGCCTAGGGTGGAAATATTGGCCTGGAGTGGAGATATGGGCTTGTGGTGGGGATATGGGCTTGTGGTGGGGATCTGGGCTTGGAGGCTGGGTCTCTGCACAGCCGACAGCCCTGTTCTTGGGTGCAGGTAGGCACTGAGGGTGAGTTTAACTTCAGTCCAGGAAGGGCCTGCCTACCAAGACTCACAGCCCAGTGAGGGCAGCAAGGGAGGGCTGGTTTGCCTGCAGATGGATCGTCCATCATGATCTTTCTTTCCAGGGTTCTTCTTGCTGCAGGGGGCCTGGCCACATGAGGGTGAGTCCTTCTCCAAACCTTAGGGTGTCATCTCCCCACATAAGAGGATTTTCCTGAAACAGGAGGGAAGTCCTGTCAGGGAGCCTCTCATAAACTAGGAAGAGGGGACCCTGGGGTGCTCGGCCCACAGTTCCGACCTCGCCTCCCTGGCCTTTCATTCCCTTGGCAGAGTCAAGTTCTGTGGGGACCAGGGTTAGACTGGGGTGCTCAAAGCTGGGGTGCGTGGTGGGGAAGTGGTAGGAACAGCAGATCCTCTGAGGACAAAGGTGTTACTCACACTTCAGCGTTTCCATGACGGTAGGGGCTGCAGTGTGGCTGCTGTCACTCCACCAGAAGAGGTGGGAAACCACAGCCATGGCCCTGACATTCCAAATCCTCTGATGGGGGCTCAGTTGCTTATTTTCATTCAGGCATCTGCTGATATTCCATTCTCAAAGACATGCCCTCCACCCCATGTCTACCCTGTGTTGTTTTATGTGAGTAATCTTACAGTATTAAAATCTAGTAGGAGTCTCTTACTCAGCACTTGCTCAAAGTTCTCAGCTGACACTTTTGTTGTAGGGAGACACCTTGTGTTTGCGGGATGGGTCCTTCCTTTAGCCCTGGGCACCAAGGTGTGATAGCAGCCATAGAAACTTGGAAAGCGAGGAGAATCTTCAGAGCACAGGGAGGGAGGGGTGGCTCCACATCCTCCTCTCTAAGGCGGTGCCTCCTTCTCCCCAAGGTGGTCAGGACAAGCCCTTGCTGTCTGCCTGGCCCAGCTCTGTGGTGCCTCCAGGACATGTGATTCTTCGGTGTCATTCTTATCTTGGGTTTAACAACTTCAGTCTGTAAAAGGAAGATGGGGTGCCTGGCACTGAGCTCTACAACAGAATATTCTGGAAGAGCCTTTTCATGGGCCCTGTGACCCCAGCACACACAGGGACGTACAGATGTCGGGGTTCACACCCACACTACCCCAGTGGGTGGTCGGCACCCAGCAACACCCTGGTGATCATGGCCACAGGTCAGAGGGCTCCTGTCTTGGATTCTCCTTTCCCACCTCCTGAATCCCAGAGCTTCTGGTGGGCGTGTCCTTGAGGGTCCCATCACCCAGGCCCTGACTATATTTGGGGTAAAGGGGGATTGAATACAGGGAAATGGGTGCTGTGGTGGGAAGAATAATTGTCCCCAGTGATGACTACATTCTAATCCCTGGAGTCTGTGACTATTTATGTTATAGGGGAAGGAACTGAAGGGGAAGATGGAGCTCAGGTTGTTGATGAGTTGACCTTGAGATGGGGAGACAGCCTGGACTGTCCCGCTGGGCTCAGTGTAATCACAAGGGTCCACATGAAAGGAGGAGGAAGAGGGGAGTGGGGATTAGAGCAGCGCAATGGGAGACTCCACCAGCTTTGAAGGTGGAGGAAGGCCAGGAGCCATGAATGCAGGTGGCCTGTAGAGGTTGGAAAAGTCAAGGAAATGATTCTCCAGAGTCTCCAGAGGGAACGAAGCCCTGCAGATGCCTTGATTTTAGCCCAGGAAAAACAGGGTCCTATTTCTGTCTCCAGTAGTGAAATGGGTCAGTGTGCTCTCTCCTGCTGCCATGCTTCTGATAATTTTCTACAGCAGCAACAGGAAACCAACACTGGAACCCAGGTCAAGGACAAGGTAAGAAACAACACAAGGATAGCCGGGTGTGGTGGCAGGCGCATGTAATCCTAGCGACTTGGGAGGCTGAGGGCAGGAGAATCACTTGAACCCAGGAGACAGAGGTTGCAGTGACCCTAGACCACACCACTTCACTCCAGCTGGGGTGAAGGAGTGAGACTCTGTCTCCATAATTAATTAATTAATTAAAGGAACCAAACAAGGGGAAGGTTGGCTACACCGAGATGAGCAAGTGTGGGATGATGATGCCACCACCAGGCTCCATCCACATAGGGAGGGGTTGATACTCCTCAAACCAGCACCAGGAGCCAGCCTATGGAAGCTGGCACCATGGAGAAGGCACAGGCATGGCAAGAGTGGCTCCCAGTCCCGACCAGGAACAGGGTGTGTGGACACTGGTGCCTGCCTTATTCATCAGTTCATACCTACTGCCAAGGATTCCAATTCATCCAAAAGAGATTGAACCAGGCTGATAAGAGGCTGGATGTGCAGCCTATCCTGGTTCCTCTTTCACCCCCACATAAACAGCAGGAAAGACATTAGTGTGAAATAGATACAACACCCCAAGAGATGAGGCTAAGCCCAGTGGGAAGGGAATCAGAGGCGACTAGAGACAGAGGGACAGAGAAGAGGGAGGGAGACAGATGGAAGGACCTGCACCAGGAGTTATGGGCACAGAAAAGAACATGAAGACACAGAGAGGAAGGAGAGAGACAGACACCAGCAAGGGGAAGCCTCACTCATTCTAGGTGCCATGGATGGGATGATAAAGAGAGACACCTTCTAAACTCACAACCTCTCTTCCTAGGAGTCCACAGAAAACCTTCCCTCCTGGCCCACCCAGGTCCCCTGGTGAAATCAGAAGAGACAGTCATCCTGCAATGTTGGTCAGATGTCAGGTTTCAGCACTTCCTTCTGCACAGAGAAGGGAAGTTTAACGACACTTTGCACCTCACTGGAGAGCACCATGATGGGGTTTCCAAGGCCAACTTCTCCATCGGTCCCATGATGGAAGACCTGGCAGGGACCTACAGATGCTACGGTTCTGTTACTCACTCCCCCATCAGTTGTCAGCTCCCAGTGACCCTCTGGACATCGTCATCACAGGTGAGAGTGTCCGGACATTCTTCTCATTGTCATTGGGATGCAGAGTGAATGATCCACGACTTGGAACCCCCAGGTAGTTGTAAGGAAGATGAGCTTGGTATTCTTATGGAGAGAGACTGACTTGGTGAGGTCTGTACCAACAGAGACAGAGAAACAGGAGACACAAGTACAGACCAGGTGTCATAACAGAGGACAGACACAGGGGCCATACCGGGAGTTAGAAAAGACAGAAGGAGTTAAAGGAGACAGACAGACAGACATGTCCCAGAGAGAGGTGTCCCTCCATGCTGACTTTGCTCAGAGACCTGGCACAGGTTAGAAGTTTCATTTCTGTTTTACCTCCACAAAGTGTTCTCTACCAGGAGAACCCAAGGACACCCATATTTCTGACCTGAGTTGGGCCCTGTGGCCTCAGGCCTTGTGGCACCTACAGATGCCGTGTTTATTCTGACACCTCTGCCTTCCATGTAATGGAGAGTAACCGTCCCAGGATATCATGGCCCCAGAACACCAACTCCTGTATGCTGTGTGAACTTGTGGTCTCCAGACTGGATTCTGAGGCTCATATTCCAAATAAGCCCACTTATGAGAGGATCAGTGAGAGGCACAGAGAGAAATCAGGGACACCAAAAAGCAAAGACATAAACACACAGAGAATGAGCCAGAGGAAGGAGATTGAGAGACTCACAGACACATAAAGAGAGAGAAAAGAGGGCAGAGGAGTGGTGAGAATGATGGAAGGGAGCAGAGAAAAGCACTAAAATTAGACTCCTGAGGGAGAGGCACAAGGACATAGAAAGATGGAGATGTGGGGATGAATTGCAGAGATTCCAAAGAGAACTAGAGAGACCGAGAGGCAGAGCAAGACAGATGATAGATGGATAGATATAGATAGATGATAAATAGGTAGATGATAGATAATAGGTTAAAGATACATAGATGATGATTGATTGATTCATTAATAGATGAGACATAGAGATGATGATGATGAAGACAGATAGATAATACATAGAGATAGAGAGGCAGACAGAAGTCATAGAGAGAGAGATGATACATAGATATAGATAACAGATGATTGATGGATAGATAGACAAGTGATAGATACATAGATGATATATAGATATAGATGACAGGTAGAGAATTTGTAGATAGGCACCGAATAGATAAATAGATAGATCGATAGATAATAGATAGAAATATGCAGAAAGTTATGAACAGGACACAAAGTGAGAAACTTAGAATTTAAAAAAGTAACATCAAGTCAACCAATCCAAGGAGAGTCAGAGAGAATAAAACAATCCAAAAAGGGAAAACATATCTAGAGGTGTGGAAGCGAGGTCAGAGACCTAGAGAGACAGAGAAGGTGGAAGGAGGAAATAGACATGAAGAGAGATGGGGTGGAGGGTGAGAGAGAGAGAGAGAGAGAGCATTAGGTCATAGAGCAGGGGAGTGAGTTCTCAGCTCAGGTGAAGGGAGCTGTGACAAGGAAGATCCTCCGTAAGGAAAATGCCTCTTCTCCTTCCAGGTCTATATGAGAAACCTTCTCTCTCAGCCCAGCCGGGCCCCACGGTTCTGGCAGGAGAGAGCGTGACCTTGTCCTGCAGCTCCCGGAGCTCCTATGACATGTACCATCTATCCAGGGAGGGGGAGGCCCATGAACGTAGGTTCTCTGCAGGGCCCAAGGTCAACGGAACATTCCAGGCTGACTTTCCTCTGGGCCCTGCCACCCACGGAGGAACCTACAGATGCTTCGGCTCTTTCCGTGACTCTCCCTACGAGTGGTCAAACTCGAGTGACCCACTGCTTGTTTCTGTCACAGGTGAGGAAAGCCCATGGCTGTCCCATGTCCTATGATCCTAGAGCCTTAGCTGAGGAGCTTCCTGCTGAGGATGGAGAGAAGGATGAACAGATGCAGAGAGAAGACGAAGCTTGGGTGTGAGGGAGGGATCAGGGCACAGGATGGCAGACAGGGCACCTCCAAACCCTCCTACATGGCCTGCATGAAGGCCTGCGGCCAGGACTCCAGGCACCCAGGCAGATGGAGAAAGCGGTCAGGAGAGACCCAGAGGAGGGAGACTGGGCTCAGTTTGGGAAGATCAGAGGTTCCCTCAGCCCCTCAACATTACCCATTTCCCAGAAGCCCATCCTGGCCTCCCACCCACACAGGGATGTCATCACCTGCAACCCCTACACCCTTTACTTTTGTTTGAGAAATATTTATTGAGGATAAATATACCTATATAGCTTACCACCTTTAACATTTTTTTTTTGAGGCGGAGTCTAGCTCTGTCCCCTATGCTGGAGTGCATTGGCACAATCTCAGCTCACTGCAACTTCCGCCTCCTGGGTTCAAGCGATTCTCTTGCCTCAGCCACCTGAGTAGCTGGTGCTACAGGCGCGCACCACCATGCCAGGCTACTTTTTGTATTTTTAGTAGAGAGGGGGTTTCACCATGTTGGTCAAGCTGGTCTCGAACTCCTGACCACGTGATCCACCCGCATCAGCCTCCCAAAGTGCTGGGATTACAGGCATGAGCCACCACGCCCAGCCACATTTACCATTTTTAAGTGTAAAGTCTAGTGGTCATAAATACATTAATATATATATATATACACATATTTTTTTTTACCCTCCACCCTTTTCTTCCTGGCCTCTGGTAGCCACCATTCTACTCTCTACCTTCATGAGATCCACCTTTTAGCTCCTGTATATGGGTAAGAAATGGGAATCTTTGTAATGACCTCCAGTTCCATCCATGTGGCTGCAAATATCAGGATGTTTTTCTTTCTATGGAAGAGTAGTCTCCACTATGCAAATGTACCACATTCTCTCTATCCATTCACCCACTGATGGGCAGGTAGGTTGACTCCTCATCTTGGCTACTGTGAAGAGTGCTGCACCAATCATACGAGTGCAGATATCACTTCGATATATTGATTTACTTTCCTTTGGATATAAACCCAGTAGTGAAATTGCTGGATACTATGAAAGTTCTCTTTTTAGTTTTTCGTTTGTTGTTTTGTTTTTGTTTTTGAGACAGTTTCCCTCTGTGCCCAGGCTGGAGTACAAGTGATGTCATCTTGGCTCATTGCAACCTCTGCCTCCTGGGTTCAAATGATTTTCCTGCCTCAGCCTCCCTAGTATCAGGGATTATAGGCGCACGCCACCATGCCTGGCTACTTTTTGTTTTTTTTAGTATAGATGCGGTTTCCCCATGTTGGCTGGGCTGCTCTCAAACTCATGACCTCAACTGAGGTGCCCGCCTCGGTCTCCCAAAGTGCCGGGATTACAGGCATGATCCACCTCACCCAACCTCTTTTTAGTTCTTTAAAGGACTTCCACACTTTTCTCCGTAATGGCTGTACTAATTTACACTCCTACCAACAGGATACCAGGATTCTCCTTTCTCTAACACCTTGCCAGCATTTCTTTTGCCTGTCTTGCAGCTAAAAGCCATTTTATTTTATTTCATTTTATTTTGAGATGGAGTTTCGCTCTTGTCACCCAGGCTGAGTGCAGTGGTGCGATCTCGGCTCACCACAACCTCCACCTCCCAGGTTCAAGCGATTCTCCTGCCTCAGCCTCCCGAGTAGCTGGAATTACAGGCACACGCCACCACGCCCGACTAATTTTTGTATTTTTAGTAGAGACAGTGTTTCTCCATGTGGGTCAGACTGGTCTCAAACTCCCGACCTTATGAGATTCACCCACCTCAGGCTCTCAAAGTTCTAGGATGACAGACGTGAGCCACCACGCCCGGCCTAAAAGCCATTTTAATGGGGTGAGATGAAAACTCACTTTGATTTTAATTTGTGTTTCTCTGATGATGAGTGATACTGAGCACTTTTTCGTATGTGGGGAAATTTCATGTCTTTTGCTCCTGTTTCAATTAAATCATTTGTTTTATTGAGTTGTTTGAGCTTCTTATATTTCTAGTTATTAATCCCATCTCAGATGCATAGTTTGCACATATTTGCTCCCAATCTGTGGGTTGTCTCTTCACTTTGTTGGTTTATTTTTAGCGGTGCAGAAGTTGCTTAGTTTGAGGTAATCCCAATGGTCTATTTTTGCTTCGATTACTTGTGTTTTGAAGGTTTAAAACAAAATGTCTTCCTTCAGACAAACGTCCTGGAGCATTTCCCCAATATTTTCTTCTACGTGTTTCATAGGTTCAGGCCTTAGACTCACATCTTTAATCCATTTTCATTTGATTTTTGTGTATAGTGACAGGCAGAGGTGCAGTTTCATTCCTCTGCATGTCGATGTCCAGGTTTCCCTGCACTGTTTATTGAAAAGACTGTCCTTTCCTGATTGTGAGTTCTTGGCACCTTTGTCAAAGTCCATTGGATGGGCTGGGCATGGTGGCTGACACCTGCAATTTCAGCACTTTGGGAGCCCGAGGTGGGTGGATCACCTGAGGCCAAGAGTTCAAGATTAGTCTGGCCAACGTGATGAAACATCGTCTCCACTAAAAATATAAAAATTAGCTGAGCATGGTGGTCAGCACCTGTAATACCACTACTCAGGAGTTTGAGGCAAGAGAAGTGATTGAACCCAGGAGGCTGTGGTGGCAGTGAACCGAGATTGCACCTCTGCACTCCAGCCTGGGTGACAGAGCAAGACTCCATCTCAAAAGAAAAACAAAAAATACATTGGAGGTAAATGCATGGATTATATCTGTGTTATTCATTCTGCTCCGTTGTTCTATGTGCCTTTCTTCATGCCAACGTCATGCTGTCTTGCTTACTACAGCTCTGTAACATATTTTGAGATCAGGTAGTGTGATGCTCCTGTTTTCTCTTTATACCTTGAAGTCTCAAGACAGTAGCCGTCACATACAAAAATTACGGAAAAAAGGATCCCAGGACTCCCAGGGCCCAATATTAGATAACAGAGTGTTGGCCATGAACCAACCTCAAAGATTTCCACTGAGTAGAGGACAGACACCCTCATTTCCTCACCTCTCTCCTGTCTCATGTTCTAGGAAACCCTTCAAATAGTTGGCCTTCACCCACTGAACCAAGCTCCAAAACCGGTGAGTACAGAACCCTCTTATATCCGCTTTTGGAAACCTGGGGAGGTGGAAACCTTGGATTCAGGCGTTGACTCAGCATCTCACAGCTCTGACATTGTACGCCTGTCTTCTACCATCTCCAAACTCCAGATACTCCAACAGCGAAAGGGATCTGGACCCAAAACAGGGCTCTGTGAAATCTCTTAATCTCTCATTTTATGGAGCTGAGATCTCCTACAAGCTAGAAAAATGATTGGCAATCTGACATCCTTCTCAGGAAAAATGCAATGTTTGTTCTGCCTGCATTCCTAACTGGAGGATAAATTCCTGGGGGCTTGAGAGAGGGAAGGGTAGGGAACATTTGATGAGGGCGAGGTGTTTTAGAGAAGTTCCACTTGCCCAGGAATGAATTACTGTTGGTCATGAAGCAACCCTGGCTGACTCAGCAGAGCAAGAGCTTTGCCTTAACAGAGAACGGAGCTCATGCACGCACACTTCGACTCACTGACTCATTCAGCCACGGCCCCATGCTCAGGCCGTGGAAAAGGCAATTCCCAGCACTGCAGGAGGCCAAGGCGGGTGGATCACTTGAAGTCAGGAGTTCCAGACCAGCCTGGCCAAAATGGTGAAACCCTGTCTCTATGAAAAATACAAAAATTAGCCGAGCATGGTGGTGCATCCCTGTAATCCCAGCTCCTACTCTTGAGGATGAAGCAGGAGAACGACTTCAACCCAGGAGGTGGAGGTTGCAGTGAGTGGAGATTGCATCACTGCACTCCAGCCTGGGTGACACAAGGAGACTCCGTCTCAAAAAATAAAAATAAGAAATGCATAAATATAATAAAACACACACGAATGACAAAGGCACCTGAATTCCAATCATCATTTTTGTATTTCTCTATAATTACTTCTTTGATCCTTTGTCTTATCCATTAGGCAATGAGCCTAAAACCTCTTCCGTATTTGGCTTTCTGTGAGCATGAGACCATATAGAAAATGTGAAAGCCTGCTGAATCCTCCAGCACAGATCGTGGAATAGAGAAAGTGCTCTGTTCATCACAAAAAAAACTTGCCCTCTCACTCAAATCCCCCACTTCACCCCTACTTCCAATCACCTGTGGAGATTCAGATAGACCATGGGGAGGTAAACATTAATACTCCTTGGAGTGAGTCCAGATCTTGGAATGAGAGATCAGCACCAGCACTAGCTCCTGCTCCCCTTTCCTACTAATTCACAGGAGGACAGGTGGTATTGAAGCAATAGATGGTGGAGGGGGTGGTCCTTCCCCCAGCCTCTCAGGTAGAACAGCAGCCTAACATGTGTCTCCCGAGATCACAAAGAGTAGGACGTTTCACAGGGGCTTCAACACGATTTCCTGGCTGTTGGACATAAGATAACTCTATTTCGCTTTTTTATCTTGATTTCACTTTTGTTTCCTTTCCTTGGAGAACGCAAGTTGTTTGACTCAAGAATGCTGTGGATGTAGAAATCCTAAAGCACATTCGCTGTGTGTCAATCCCAGTGCAGTCTTCCCAGAAAAGACCCTAAACACCTCCTAGACTGCACCTGGGCCTACGCCAATTCCTATCACTCACCGTCACTCCAGGGAGACAGAACACACAGAGAATACGTTACATAGGCAGGTTCATTACTAACAGATAAGCAGCGAGTGAAAACAGAAGCCTACATTTCAATGTGAGCCAGTCCCTCAAGGCTCAGAAAAGCTGCTCGGGACATATGGAGTCACCCCATTTGCAGTGTAGCTGGGGGAAGCCAGAAAGCAGCCCAGCCTGGGTTTTGTACCCTGGAGCCACAGGAAGCACTCAGCTAAAGCACTGCATGACGTCCTCCTCCAGGAAGAACAGGAAGACAGCCCAGGCTGCTCTGGGACGTTCCTCCTGATCTCAGGACGTTGCTGTCTTAGTCCATTTTTGTTGCTCTAAAGGAACACTTGAGCCTGGGCAACTTCTAAAGAAAAGAGATTGGTTTGCCTCACCGTTCTGCAGGCTGTACTGGAAGCATGGCACCAGCATCTATTTCTCGTGATGGCCTCAGGCTGCTCCCACTCTGGCAGAAGGGAAGGAGGGTCTGTCTGTGCAGAGACCACAGAGATCACACGGCAAGAGAGGGAGCAAGGGGGAGGGGGAGCGATGGAGCTTCCAAGTTCTTTTGAACAACCAGCTCTCCAGGAACTAATAGAGGGGGAACTAGCTAACCCCGTCTCCTTGGGACAGCATTGATCTGTTCATGATGGATCCACCTCCATGACCCAAACACCTCTCAAGAGGCCCAACCTCCCACAATGGGGGTGAAATTTCAATGTGAGGTTTGAAGGGGTCAAACATCTCAACTAAAGTAGTTGTGTCCTCAGCACATTCTATGGTTACTTTGAGAGCTATAACTGAGAAAGCAGGAGAAAGCTGGGTCTCCCGCCATCTGGGTGCTTGTCCTAAAGAGGTGTTTTACGTGGTTACCTGTCAATCAAGAAATGCGAGACAATTCATAAAGAGGAACTGCTATGATTAGCTTCTTATTGGTGTCTCATCTTCTTCCAGGTAACCCAAGACACCTGCACGTTCTGATTGGGACCTCAGTGGTCATCATCCTCTTCATCCTCCTCCTCTTCTTTCTCCTTCATCGCTGGTGCTCCAACAAGAAAAGTAAGTCTCACGAAGGAGAGGCCAGAGAGCTCAGGGCCATGTGGGGAAGCAGGATGGGAGCACTCAGGTGTGTGTTCCTCACAGGTAGGATGGTCCCTGGCCCAAGGCAGCAGCCACAGAGGCAGGACTTTCTAGAGAGGGCACCAGACTCCCTGTCCCTGCTTTCAGCTCACAGACCGTTGCCTGATTCTGAACTGTATCCTCATGTCCCCTGCAGCCACTCACATCCAGGAGAAGGTTCCATGACAGGCAGAAAGTGGGAGACAGAATCAATGGGATGGGAACTCAGAGCTATTCATGGGATGGGTCCTTGAGCTCAGAGAGATAGAATGTCTGAGTCTGCTGTTGGCAACTGAGGGACCTCAGGCACCTATGGCCTCCCCCTGTTTGTTGGTATCTGCTTATGAAATGAGGACCCAGAAGTGCCCTCCGAGCTCTTTTGTTGACTTCCGTCTCCTACACATGCTGCTGTAATGGACCAAGAGCCTGCAGGGAACAGAACAGCGAATAGCGAGGTAGGTGCTCCTCGGCCCAGCCTCGTGGCTAGTGTTATTCCCAAACAGTCCTGGAAAACGTGAGCACCCTCCCTCACTCAGGATTTCCCTCTCTCCAGGACTCTGATGAACAAGACCCTCAGGAGGTGACATACGTACAGTTGGATCACTGCGTTTTCACACAGAGAAAAATCACTCGCCCTTCTCAGAGGCCCAAGACACCCCCAACAGATACCAGAGTGTACACGGAACTTCCAAATGCTGAGTCCAGATCCAAAGTTGTCTCCTGCCCATGAGCACCACAGTCAGGCCTTGAGGGGATCTTCTAGGGAGACAACAGCCCTGTCTCAAAACCGGGTTGCCAGCTCCCATGTACCAGCAGCTGGAATCTGAAGGCGTGAGTCTGCATCTTAGGGCATCGCTCTTCCTCACACCACAAATCTGAATGTGCCTCTCTCTTGCTTACAAATGTCTAAGGTCCCCACTGCCTGCTGGAGAGAAAACACACTCCTTTGCTTAGCCCACAATTCTCCATTTCACTTGACCCCTGCCCACCTCTCCAACCTTACTGGCTTACTTCCTAGTCTACTTGAGGCTGCAATCACACTGAGGAACTCACAGTTCCAAACATACAAGAGGCTCCCTCTTAACACGGCACTTAGACACGTCCTGTTCCACCTTCCCTCATGCTGTTCCACCTCCCCTCAGAGTATCTTTCAGCCTTCTGTCAGCAGTAAAACTTATATATTTTTTAAAATAATTTCAATGTAGTTTTCCCTCCTTCAAATAAACATGTCTGCCCTCATGGTTTCGGTAATGGGACTCTTTTCTTGCCTAAGACTTCCATTATCATTACCATGTCCACATAACCCCATCTGTTCTCCACTGGGTTCTCACCCCCGGACTCTGAGTTTCTGGAAGCAGGGTGGAGCCTCATTTGTCTCTGGGACTCCTATTTCCATCCAAAGATGTAGCACATAGGAGGTTCCAAGGATCGTGAATCACATGAACAAGTGATATTCTTACTCTCTGCAGACCTGGAAATCTGGCAGAGTCATTCCAAGATGAAACATTTGTAGAATCATAGGCCTTGTTAGTCTCATCTACACAGGGACACATATCAACACATCATCTTTCACACTATAAATATACAGTCACTCCTCCATATCTGTGGGGTTTACAGTTCTTTATTGAACCGAGTATAAATCAAAAATATTCAGAGAAAGTATCCACAGAGTTACAAAAAGCAGAACTGTGTTGAATGGACACAAATGAAGCTGTGTGTAGGCTGCATCAGGAATTATAAGTAATCTAGAGATGATTTCATGTATACAGGAGGATGTGCATAGGTTATTTGCAAACTCTGTGCCATTTCATATAAGAGGCTTGAGCATCTACAGATTTTGGTATCTGAGTGGAGATCTCGAAACCAATCACCCACGAATAGTGAAGGATGACCGTATATGACTTTTATTTCTCAAATTTAAATATAAATCATAAAAAATGTACAACTAGATAAAAACTAAGAAGTGTTTTTATAGTGTGAGTTAGATTTATTTTTTCCTAGGTATAACCCATTGGTTTAATATTATTTATTGAGAAGACATTCTATGCCACCTTAAACCACACGGCAGCCTTTGTCAACTCTAAAGGGACTGTGTGTACACGGATGTACTTTAGACACTGTTTCTGCTAAGGGGCTCTCTGTGTCCACACTCTTGATGATGCTGCACTTTATGTAGCCTTATAGAACCCTTTAAATTTAGTAGCCAGAGCTCTCTAATTTGTTATTATAGGCTATTTGCTTTTTTTTCTTGAGGCGGAGTCTTGCTCTGTCGCCCAGGCTGGACTGCAGTGACACAATCTCAGCTCACTGCAACTTCTGCCTCCCAGGTTCAAGCGATTCTCATGCCTCAGCCTCTTGAGTAGCTGGCGTTACAGGTGCCTGCCACCAGGCACGGCTAATTTTTGGATTTTTAGCAGAGACACGGTTTCACTATATTGGCCAGGCTGCTCTCAAACTCCTTATCTCAGTTGATCCGCCCACCTCGGCTTCCCAACGTGCTGGGGAAACTTGATTTTCTATAGCATTATGTTACTGGATATTTCTGTAAAATTTAAAATGAGGGAGGGAGAGAGACAGACGGAAAACAAACTCCAGAGTTGGGACTCTGGAATCTTGGGTCATGAGACAAATTTTAGATTAAACTACAAAACTCCAGAATTTACAGGTGGGGTTTTTACTGATAAAGTACAATTCTAAGATTGTAAATAATTGCATAATCCTTCCCTGGGAATTTAAATCATTTTAACTGGTTCTGCTGTAATACTAGAAATACAAGCATGAAAAATTCTAATGGTTTATTAGTGACAATGACTCTGAAAACATTAATAATACCTATTAGATATTTTGCATATTACACAGGAAGAAGAGTTTGAATCTCAGATAAAAACAATAGAAATACATGAAAAGTCTTTCATGTTAGCACAGATTTTAGGCATCTCGTGTTCGGGAGGTTGGATCTCAGACGTGTTTTGAGTTGGTCATAGTGAAGGACACTAGGTGTCAAATTCTAGCGAGAACAATTTCCAGGAAGCCGTGTTCCGCTCTTGAGCGAGCACCCACTGGGCCTCATGCAAGGTAGAAAGAGCCTGCGTACGTCACCCTCCCATGATGTGGTCAACATGTAAACTGCATGGGCAGGGCGCCAAATAACATCCTGTGCGCTGCTGAGCTGAGCTCGGTCGCGGCTGCCTGTCTGCTCCGGCAGCACCATGTCGCTCTTGGTCGTCAGCATGGCGTGTGTTGGTGAGTCCTGGAAAGCAATAGAGGGAGGGAGTGAGGGGATGGAGATCTGGGCCCAGAGGTGGAGATATAGGCCTGGAGGTGGAGTTATGGGCCTGGAGTGGAGATCTGGGCCTGGAGTGGATATATGGGCCTAGAGATGGAGTGATGGGCCTAGAAGTGGAGATCTGGGCCCAGAGGTCGAGATATAGGCCTGGAGGTGGAGTGATGGGACTGTAGTGGAGATCTGGGCCTGGAGTGGAGATAGGAACCTGGAGGGGAGATAGGAACCTGGAGGGGAGATATGGGCCTGGAGGTGGAGATATGGGCCTGGAGTGGAGTCATGGGCCTGGAGGTGGAGTTATGGGCCTGCAGTAGAGATATGGGCCTGAAGTGGAGACATGGGCCTGGAGTGGAGATATGGGCCAGGAGTGGAGATATGGGCCTAGAGGTCGATATCTGGGCCTGGAGTGGAGATATGGGCCAGGAGTGGAGATATGGGCCTAGAGGTCGATATCTGGGCCTGGAGAGGAGATATGTGCCTAGGATGGAGATACGGGCCTGGGTGTGGAGATATGGGACTGGAGAGGATATATGGGCCTGGAGTGGAGATATGGGACTGGAGAGGAGATATGGACCTGGAGTGGAGATAAGGGCCTGGATTGGAGATATGGGCCCAGGGTGGAGATCTGAGCCTGGATTGGAGATATGGGCCTGGATTGGCGATATGGGCTTAGGGTGGAAATATCGGCCTGGAGTGGAGATATGGGCCTGGAGTGGAGATATGGGCTTGAGGTGGGGATATGGACCTGGAGGCTGGGTCTCTGCACAGCCGACAGCCCTGTTCTTGGGTGCAGGTAGGCACTGAGGGTGAGTTTACCTTCAGCCCAGGAAGGGCCTGGCTACCAAGACTCACAGCCCAGTGGGGGCAGCAAGGGTGCCCTGGTTTGCCTGCAGATGGGTCATCCATCATGATCTTTCTTTCCAGGGTTCTTCTTGCTGCAGGGGGCCTGGCCACATGAGGGTGAGTCCTTCTCCCAACCTTCGGGTGTCATCTCCCCACATAAGAGGATTTTCCTGAAATGGGAGGGAAGTCCTGTCAGGGAGTCTCTCATAAACTAGGAAGAAGGGACCCTGGGGTGCTGGGCCCACATTTCTGACCTTGCCTCCCTGGCCTTTCATTCCCTTGGCAGAGTCAAGTTCTGTGGGGACCAGGGTTAGACTACGGTGCTCAAAGCTGGGGTGTGTGGTGGGGAAGTGGTAGGAACAGCAGATCCTCTGAGGACAAAGGTGTTACTCACACACTTCAGCGTTTCCATGACGGTAGGGGCTGCAGTGTGGCTGCTGTCATTCTACCAGAAGAGGTGGGAAAACCACAGCCATGGCCCTGACATTCCAATCCTCTGATGGGGACTCAGTTGTTTATTTTCGTTCAGGCATCGGCTGATATTCCATTCTCAAAGGACATGCCCTCCACCCCATGTCTACCCTGTGTTGTTTTATGTGAGTAATCTTACAGTATTAAAATCTAGTAGGAGTCTCTTACTCAGCACTTGCTCAAAGTTCTCAGCTGACACTTTTGTTGTAGGGAGACACCTTGTGTTTGCGGGATGGGTCCTTCCTTTAGCCCTGGGCACCAAGGTGTGATAGCAGCCATAGAAACTTGGAAAGCGAGGAGAATCTTCAGAGCACAGGGAGGGAGGGGCGGCTCCACATCCTCCTCTCTAAGGCGGTGCCTCCTTCTCCCCACGGTGGTCAGGACAAGCCCTTGCTGTCTGCCTGGCCAAGCCCTGTGGTGCCTCCAGGACATGTGATTCTTCAGTGTCATTCTTATCTTGGGTTTAACAACTTCAGTCTGTAAAAGGAAGATGGGGTGCCTGTCCCTGAGCTCTACAACATAATATTCTGGAACAGCCTTTTCATGGGCCCTGTGACCCCAGCACACGCAGGGACCTATACATGTCGGGGTTCACAACCACACTACCCCAGTGGGTGGTCGGCACCCAGCAACCCCCTGGAGATCACGGTCACAGGTCAGAGGGCTCCTGTCTGGGATTCTCCTTGTCCCACCTCCTGAATCCCAGAGCTCCTGGTGGGCGTGTCCTTGCGGGTCCCATCATGCAAGTCCTGACTGTATTTGGGGTAAAGGGGGATTGAATACAGGGAAATGGGTGCTGTGGTGGGAAGAATAATTGTCCCCAGTGATGACTACATTCTAATCCCTGGAGTCTGTGACTATTTATGATATAGGGGAAGGGACTGAAGGAGAAGATGGAGCTCAGGTTGTTGATGAGTTGACCTTGAGATGGGGAGACAGCCTGGACTGTCCTGATGGGCTCAGTGTAGTCACAGGGGTCCACAGGAAAGGAGGAGGAAGAGGGGAGTGGGGATTACAGCAGCATAATGGGAGTCTCCATCAGCTTTGAAGGTGGAGGAAGTCCAGGAGCCATGAATGCAGGTGGCCTATAGAGGCTGGAAAAGTCAAGGAACTGATTCTCCTGAGTCTCCAGAGGGAACGAAGCCCTGCAGGTACCTTGATTTTACCCACGACAAACAGGGTCCGATTTCTGTCTCCAGAATTGGAAGGGGTTAGTGTGCTCTCTCCTGCTGCCATGCTTCTGATAATTTTCTACAGCAGCAACAGGAAACCAACACTGGAACCCAGGTCAAGGACAAGTTAAGAAACAACACAAGGATAGCCAGGCATGGTGGCAGGTGCATGTAATCCTAGCGACTTGGGAGGCTGAGGGCAGGAGAATCACTTGAACCCAGGAGACAGAGGTTGCAGTAAGCCTAGACCACACCACTTCACTCCAGCCTGGGCAAAGGAGTGAGACTCTGTCGCCAAAATTAATTAATTAATTAAAGAAACCAAACAAGGAGAAGGTTGGCTACACTGAGATCAGCAAGGCTCGGATGATGATGCCACCACCAGGCTCCATCCACATAGGGAGCGGTTGATACTCCTCCAACCAGCACCAGGAGCCAGGCTATGGAAGCTGGCACTGGCATGGCAAGAGTGTCTCCCAGTC
Source organism: Homo sapiens (assembly GCF_000001405.40). Lineage (NCBI taxonomy): Eukaryota > Metazoa > Chordata > Mammalia > Primates > Hominidae > Homo > Homo sapiens. Next base: position 74,481 of record NW_016107308.1, read on the forward strand.
CCTACCAGGAACAGGGTGTGTGGCCACTGGTGCCTGCCTTACTGATCAGTTCATACCTCCTGCCAAGGATTCCAATTCGTCCAAAAGAGATTGAACCAGGCTGCTAAGAGCCTGGATGTGCAGCCTATCCTGGTTCCTCTTCCACCCCCACACAGACAGCAGGAAAGACATTAGTTCGAAATAGATACAACAGCCCAAGAGATGAGGCTGAGCCCAGCGGCAAGGGAATCAGAGGCTACTAGAGACAGAGGGACAGAGAAGAGTGAGGGAGACAGATGGAAGGACCTGCACCAGGAGTTATGGGCACAGAAAAGAACATGAAGACACAGAGAGGAAGGAGAGAGATAAGACACCAGGAAGGGGAAGCCTGACTCAATCCAGGTGCCATGGATGGGATGATAAAGAGAGACACCTTCTAAACTCACAACCTCTCTTCCTAGGAGTCCACAGAAAACCTTCCCTCCTGGCCCACCCAGGTCGCCTGGTGAAATCAGAAGAGACAGTCATCCTGCAATGTTGGTCAGATGTCATGTTTGAACACTTCCTTCTGCACAGAGAGGGGATGTTTAACGACACTTTGCGCCTCATTGGAGAACACCATGATGGGGTCTCCAAGGCCAACTTCTCCATCAGTCGCATGAAGCAAGACCTGGCAGGGACCTACAGATGCTACGGTTCTGTTACTCACTCCCCCTATCAGTTGTCAGCTCCCAGTGACCCTCTGGACATCGTGATCATAGGTGAGAGTGTCCAGACTTTCTTCTCATTGTCATTGGGATGCAGAGTGAATGATCCAGGACTTGGAGGCCCAGGTGGCTGTAAGGAAGATGAGCTTGGTATTCTTATGGAGAGAGACTGACTTGGTGAGGTCTGTGCCAACAGAGACAGAGAAACAGGAGACACAAGTAGAGACCAGGTGTCATAACAGAGAACAGACACAGGGGCCATACCGGGAGTTTGAAAAGACAGAAAGAGTTAAAGGAAACACACAGACAGACATGTCCCAGAGAGAGGTGTCCCTCCATGCTGACTTTGCTCAGAGACCTGGCACAGGTTAGAAGTTTCATTTCTGTTTTACCTCCACAAAGTGTTCTCTACCAGGAGAACCCAAGGACACCCATATTTCTGACCTGAGTTGGGCCCTGTGGCCTCAGGCCTTGTGGCACCTACAGATGCCATGTTTATTCTGACACCTCTGCCTTCCATGTAATGGAGAGTAATCGTCCCAGGATATCATGGCCCCACAACACCAACCCCTGTATGCTGTGTGAACTTGTAGTCTCCAGACTGGATTCTGAGGCTCATATTCCAAATAAGCCCACTTATGAGAGGATCAGTGAGAGGCACAGAGAGAAATCAGGGACACCAAAAAGCAAAGACATAAACACACAGAGAATGAGCCAGAGGAAGGAGATTGAGAGACTCACAGACACATAAAGAGAAAAGAGGGCAGAGAAGTGAGAATGATGGAAGGGAGCAGAGAAAAGCACTAAAATTAGACTCCTGAGGGAGAGGCACAAGGACATTGAAAGATGGAGATGTGGGGATGAATTGCAGAGATTCCAAAGAGAACTAGAGAGACCGAGAGGCAGAGCAAGACAGATGATAGATGGATAGATATAGATAGATGATAAATAGGTAGATGATAGATAATAGGTTATAGATACATAGATGATGATTGATTGATTCATTAATAGATGAGACATAGAGATGATGATGATGAAGACAGATAGATAGATAATACATAGAGATACAGAGGCAGACATAGAGAAATCATAGAGAGAGAGAGATGATACATAGATATAGATAATAGATGATTGATGGATAGATAGACAATTGATGGATAAATAGATGATATATAGATATAGATGACAGGTAGAGAATTTGTAGATAGGCACCGAATAGATAAATAGATAGATCGATAGATAATAGATAGAAATATGCAGAAAGTTATGAACAGGACACAAAGTGAGAAACTCAGAATTAAAAAAAGTAACATCAAGTCAACCAATCCAAGGAGAGTCAGAGAGAATAAAACAATCCAAAAAGAGAAAACATATCTAGAGGTGGGGAAGTGAGGTCAGAGACCTAAAGAGACAGAGAAGGTGGAAGGAGGAAATAGACATGAAGAGCGATGGGGTAGAGGGTGAGAGAGAGAGAGAGAGAGCATTAGGTCATAGAGCAGGGGAGTGAGTTCTCAGCTCAGGTGAAGGGAGCTGTGACAAGGAAGATCCTCCCTGAGGAAACTGCCTCTTCTCCTTCCAGGTCTATATGAGAAACCTTCTCTCTCAGCCCAGCCGGGCCCCACGGTTCTGGCAGGAGAGAATGTGACCTTGTCCTGCAGCTCCCGGAGCTCCTATGACATGTACCATCTATCCAGGGAAGGGGAGGCCCATGAACGTAGGCTCCCTGCAGGGACCAAGGTCAACGGAACATTCCAGGCCAACTTTCCTCTGGGCCCTGCCACCCATGGAGGGACCTACAGATGCTTCGGCTCTTTCCGTGACTCTCCATACGAGTGGTCAAAGTCAAGTGACCCACTGCTTGTTTCTGTCACAGGTGAGGAAAGCCCATGGCTGTCCCATGTCCTATGATCCTAGAGCCTTAGCTGAGGAGCTTCCTGCTGATGATGGAGAGAAGCATGGACAGATGCAGAGAGAAGACGCAGCCTCGGTGTGAGGGAGGGATCAGGGCACAGGATGGCCGACAGGGCACCTCCAAACCCTCCTACATGGCCTGCATGGAGGCCCACGGCCAGGGCTCCAGGCACCCAGGCAGATGGAGAAAGCGGTCAGGAGAGACCCAGAGGAGGGAGACTGGGCTCAGTTTGGGGAGATCAGAGGTTCCCTCAGCCCCTCAACCTTACCCATTTCCCAGAAGCCCATCCTGGCCTCTCACCCACACAGAGATGTCATCACCAGCAACCCCTACACCCTTTACTTTTCTTTGAAGAAATATTTATTGAGGATAAATATACCTATATAGCTTACCACTTTTAACATTTTTTTTTGAGGTGGAGTCTAGCTGTGTCCCCTATGCTGGAGTGCAGTGGCACAATCTCAGCTCACTGCAACCTCCACCTCCTGGGTTCAAGCGATTCTCCTGCCTCAGCCACCTGAGTAGCTGGTGCTACAGGCACGCACCACCACGCCAGGCTACTTTTTGTATTTTTAGTAGGGAGGTGGTTTCACCATGTTGGTCGAGCTGGTCTCGAACTCCTGACCAAGTGATCCACCCGCATCTGCCTCCCAAAGTGCTGGGATTACAGGCATGGGCCACTGCGCCCAGCCACATTTACCATTTTTAAGTGTAAAGTCTAGTGGTCATAAATACATTTATATACATATATATATATATACATTTTTTTTACCCTCCACCCTTTTCTTCCTGTCCTCCAGTAGCCACCATTCTACTCTCTACCTTCATGAGATCCACCTTTTAGCTCCTGTATATGGGTGAGAAATGGGAATCTTTGTAATGACCTCCAGTTCCATCCATGTGGCTGCAAATGACAGGATGTTATTCTTTCTATGGATGAGTAGTCTCCACTATGCGTATGTACTACATTCTCTCTATCCATTTACCCACTGATGGGCAGGTAGGTTGACTCCTCATCTTGGCTACTGTGAACAGTGCTGCACCAATCATACGAGTGCAGATATCACTTCGATATATTGATTTACTTTCCTTTGGATATAAACCCAGTAGTGAAATTGCTGGATACTATGAAAGTTCTCTTTTTTTCTTTTTTTCTTTTTTGAGAAAGAGTTTCCCTCCTTAGCCCAAGCTGGAGTCAAAGTGGTGCGACCTTGGCTCATTGCAACCTACGCCTCCTGGGTTCAAATGATTTTCCTGCCTCAGCCTCCCTAGTAGCTGGGATTACAGGTGCACACCACCATGCCTGGCTACTTTTTGGTTTTTTTAGTATAGATGGGGTTTCCCCATGTTGGCTGGGCTGCTCTCAAACTCATGACCTCAACTGAGGTGCCCGCCTCAGTCTCCCAAAGTGCCGGGATTACAGGCATGATCCACCGCACCCAACCTCTTTTTAGTTCTTTAAAGGACTTCCATACTTTTCTCCGTAATGGCTGTACTAATTTACACTCCTCCCAACAGGGTACCAGGGTTCTCCTTTCTCTACCACCTTGCCAGCATTTCTTTTGCCTGTCTTGCAGCTAAAAGCCATTTTATTTTATTTCATTTTATTTTGAGATGGAGTTTTGCTCTTCTCACCCAGGCTGGAGTGCAGTGGCGCGATCTCGGCTCACCACAACCTCCACCTCCCAGGTTCAAGCGATTCTCCTGCCTCAGCCTCCCGAGTAGCTGGAATTACAGGCACACGCCACCACGCCCGACTAATTTTTGTATTTTTAGTAGAGACAGTGTTTCTCTATGTGGGTCATACTGGTCTCAAACTCCCGACCTTATGAGATTCACCCACCTCAGGCTCTCAAAGTTCTAGGATGACAAACGTGAGCCACCTCACCCGGCCTAAAAGCCATTTTAATGGGGTGAGATGAAAACTCACTTTGAATTTAATTTGCGTTTCTCTGATGATGAGTGATACTGAGCAGTTTTTCGTATGTGGGGAAATTTCATGTCTTTTGCTCCTTTTTCAATTAAATCATTTGTTTTATTGAGTTGTTTGAGCTTCTTATATTTCTAGTTATTAATCCCATCTCAGATGCATAGTTTGCACATATTTGCTCCCAATCTGTGGGTTGTCTCTTCACTTTGTTGGTTTATTTTTAGCGGTGCAGAAGTTGCTTAGTATGAGGTAATCCCAATGGTCTATTTTTGCTTCGATTACTTGTGTTTTCAAGGTTTAAAACAAAATGTCTTTCTTCAGACAAATGTCCTGGAGCATTTCCCCAATATTTTGTTCTACGTGTTTCATAGGTTCAGGCCTTAGACTCACATCTTTAATCCATTTTCATTTGATTTTTGTGTATGGTGACAGGTAGAGGTGCAGTTTCATTCCTCTGCATGTAGATGTCCAGGTTTCCCTGCACTGTTTATTGAAAAGACTGTCCTTTCCTGATTGTGAGTTCTTGGCATCTTTGTCAAAGTCCATTGGATGGGCTGGGCTTGGTGGCTAACACCTGCAATTTCAGCACTTTGGGAGCCCGAGGTGGGTGGATCACCTGAGGCCAGGAGTTCAAGATTAGTCTGGCCGACGTGATGAAACATCATCTCCACTAAAAATATAAAAATTAGCTGAGCATGGTGGTCAGCACCTGTAATACCACTACTCAGGAGTTTGAGGCAAGAGAATGATTGAACCCAGGAGGCTGAGGTTGCAGTGAACCGAGATTGCACCTTTGCACTCCAGCCTGAGTGACAGAGCAAGACTCCATCTCAAAAGAAAAAATAAAAAACCATTGGATGTAAATGCATGGAATATATCTGTGTTATTCATTCTGCTCCGTTGTTCTATGTGCCTTTCTTTATGCCAGTGTCATGCTATTTTGCTTACTACAGCTCTGTAACATATTTTGAGATCAGGTAGTGTGATGCTCCTGTTTTCTCTTTATACCTTGAAGTCTCAAGACAGTGGGTGTCACATAAAAAAATTATGGAAAAAAGGATCCCAGGACTCCCAGGGCCCAATATTAGATAACAGAGTGTTGGCCATGAACCATCCTCAAAGATTTCCACTGAGTGGAGGACAGAAACCCTCATTTCCTCACCTCTCTCCTGTCTCATGTTCTAGGAAACCCTTCAAATAGTTGGCCTTCACCCACTGAACCAAGCTCCGAAACCGGTGAGTACAGAACCCTCTTATATCCGCTTTTGGAAACCTGGGGAGGTGGAAACCTTGGATTCAGGCGTTGACTCAGCATCTCACAGCTCTGACATTGTACACCTGTCTTCCACCATCTCCGAACTCCAGATACTCCTACAGCGAAAGGGATCTGGGCCCAACACAGGGCTCAGTGAAATCTCTTCATCTCTCATTTTATGGAGCTGAGACCTCCTACAAGCTAGAAGAATGATTGCCAATCTGACATCCTTCTCAGGAAAAATGCAATGTTTGTTCTGCCTGCATTCCTAACTGGAGGATAAATTCCTGGAGACTTGAGAGAGGGAAGGGAAGGGAACATCTGATGAGGGCGAGGTGTTTTAGAGAAGTTCCACTTGCCAAGGAATGAGCTCCTGTAGGTCATGAAGCAACCCTGGCTGACTCAGCAGAGCAAGAGCCTTGCCGTAACAGAGAACAGAGCTCATGCACACACACTTCGACTCACTGACTCATTCAGCCACGGCCCCATGCTCAGGCTGTGCAGTGCGGAACCTTTTCCTATTGTTGCCATAACAAATTTCCACAAGATTCGTGGGTGAAAACAAAACGGTTTTTTAATTATCTTACAGTGCTGTAGCTCAAAGTAGGAAGTGCATCTTACTGGGCTAAAATCAAGGTGACAGCAAGGCTGCCTTCCCTCTGAGGATTCCAGGCACGAATCTGCTTCTCACTTGTCCCAGCTTCTAAAGGCTCCCAGTTCCTTGGCTCCTGGTCCCCTTCCTCCTTCCTCAAAGCCCACAAAGACTGGTCACATCTCACATGGCATCACTCAGTGCCTTCTTCCTTACCACACTTCTTTCTCTGAATGCTGCTCTCCCTTCTTCCTCATCTTTTGAAAACTTGGGGATTCTATTGGGTTCACCAAGATGAAAATCCCTCATAATCTCCTGGAAATCATCCAGGATACCCTTGTTTTAAGTTCAGCTGATTAGTAACCATAATTCCATCTGCAATCTTCATTCCTCCTTTCCATGTAAAATAACATATTCACAAGCTATGGAGGCTAGGACAGGGACATTTTGGGGTGGGACAGCATTCTCCTGCCTTCCACAAACAGTGAACAAGATGCATTTGGCCTCTGCCCTTGGGACACTGATATTGCAGATGGTTAAATGGGAGGGCAGAAAATGAATGCACAAGTGGATCTATAAATGAATGATCCATTGGGAAGCATCTGTGCATGAAATCTATTTTTTGTTTGTTCTTTTGTTTATTGAGACAGAGTTGCCCTCTGTCTTCCAGGCTACAGTGCAGTGTCACGATCTTGGCTCACTGCAACCTGCTTCTCCTGGATTCAAGTGATTCTCCTGCCTCCGCCTCTCGAGTAGCTGGGATTACAGGCAACTGCCACCGTGCCCGGCTAATTCTTTTTGTATATTTTTTGTAGAGAGGATGTTTCACCACGTTGGCCAAGCTTGTCTGAAACTCCCAACCTCAAGTGATCCGACCGTCTCAGCATGCCAAAGTAATGGGACTACAGGCGTGAGCCACTGTGCCCAGCCAGAATTCAAAATCAATAATAGATAATGCTGAGTGTATGATTTCAGGTGACAAAGAAGGTCTCACTATTCAGATATTTGTGACATTAATGAAAAACACGGATTGAACCCCTGAAAGATTGGCGGAAGGATTTTGCACACACAGCTGTCAGCCGTGAAGGCACAAAGGTGAAAACAATCTGATGTGGAAGGAAGAGGCTCTTCCTCAAATGCTGGGAATGAGGTGGGGAGAATGACAAGACGACTGTGGAGAGACGGAGAGCACACTGGGTACACAGGAAACTAAGGAGCAACAAGGAGTGTGTGTTTGACACTCACAGCCATTGGATTCACCTCGGGGTAACCAGGAATCCCTACATGATTAATATGACTGACATGAAAATAAAGGAGGCCCAGGGGCGTAACTGGAATCTAGGAGACCGTGGAAAAGGCAATTCCCGACCCACTGGTGAAATGTGGTGCTGATTTTGACACTAAGTGGATGAAGCAGATGGATATAAGCTATGCTTGTGAGGTAGAATCATTGGCTGGAAAGGCTTGCTGGGTTTGATTTTCCTACTTGTTTAATCCTCGCTTAATTAATTTCTTTCTGAGATTTATTCATCCTACACATAAATCAATACCTGGCAAAGGAGTGACAGATATATGAGGGGTGGTGGAAATGAAGAGACCTATTATAGCGTAATATACAAGTCTGTGAACGGTGGCTCACGCTTGTAACCCAGCACTGCAGGAGGCCAAGGCGGGTGGATTCCATGAAGTCAGGAGTTCCAGACCAGCCTGGCCAACATGGTGAAACCCTATCTGTACTAAAAATACAAAAATTAGCCGAGCATGGTGGTGCATCCCTGTAATCCCAGCTCCTACTCTGGAGGATGAAGCAGGAGAATGACTTCAACCCAGGAGGTGGAGGTTGCAGTGAGTGGAGATTGCATCACTGCACTCCAGCCTGGGTGACACAAGGAGACTCCGTCTCAAAAAATAAAAATAAGAAATGCATAAATATAATAAAACACACACGAATGACAAAGGCACCTGAATTCCAATCATCATTTTTCTATTTCTCTATAATTACTTCTTTGATCCTTTATCTTATCCATTAGGCAATGAGCCTAAAACCTCTTCCCTATTTGGCTTTCTGTGAGCATGAGATCACATAGAAAATGTGAAAGCCCGCTGAATCCTCCAGCACGGATCCTGGAATAGAGAAAGTGCTCTGTTCATCGCAAAAAAAAACTTGCCCACTCACCCAAATCCCCCACCTCACCCCTACTTCCAATCACCTGTGGAGATTCAGATAGACCATGGGGAGGAAACATTAATACTCCTTGGAGTGAGTCCAGATCTTGGAATCAGAGATCAGCGACAGCACTAGCTCCTGTTCCCCTTTCCTACTAATTCACAGGAGGACAGGTGGTATTGAAGCAATAGATGGTGGAGGGGGTGGTCCTTCCCCCAGCCTCTCGGGTAGAACAGCAGCCTAACATGTGTCTCCCGAGATCACAAAGAGCAGCACATTTCACACGGGCTTCAACACTATTTTCTGGCTGTTTGACATAAGAGAATCTTGCTTCGCTATTTTTAATCGTGATTTCACCTTTGTTTCCTTTCCTTGGTGAATGCAATTTGTTTGACTCAAGAATGCTGTGGATGTAGAAATCCTAAAGCACATTCGCTGTGTATCAATCCCAGTGCAGTCTTCCCAGAGAAGACTCTAAACAAATCCTGGACTGCACCTGGGCCTATGCCAATTCCTATCACTCACCGTCACTCCAGGGAGACAGAACACACAGAGAATACGTTACATAGGCAGGTTCATTACTAACAGATAAGCAGTGAGTGACAACAGAAGCCTGCATTTCAATGTGAGCCAGTCCCTCAAGGCTCAGAAAAGCTGCTCGGGACATATGGAGTCACCCCATTTGCAGTGTAACTGGGGGAAGCCAGAAAGCAGCCCAGCCTGGGTTTTGTACCCTGGAGCCACAGGAAGCACTCAGCTAAAGCACTGCATGACGTCCTCCTCCAGGAAGAACAGGAAGACAGCCCAGGCTGTTCTGAGACATTCCTCCTGATCTCAGGATGTTGCTATCTTAGTCCATTTTTGTTGCTCTAAAGGAACACTTGAGCCTGGGTAACTTCTAAAGAAAAGAGATTGGTTTGCCTCACAGTTCTGCAGGCTGTACTGGAAGCATGGCACCAGAATCTATTTCTCGTGATGGCCTCAGGCTGCTCCCACTCTGGCAGAAGGGAAGGAGGGTCTGTCTGTGCAGAGACCGCAGAGATCACACGGCAAGAGAGAGAGTAAGGGGGAGAGGGAGCGATGGAGCTTCCAAGCTCTTTTTAACAACCAGCTCTCCAGGAACTAACAGAGGGGGAACTTGCTAACCCCGTCTCCTTGGGACAGCATTGGTCTGTTCATGATGGATCCACCTCCATGACCCAAACACCTCTGAAGAGGCCCAACCTCCCACAATGGGGGTGAAATTTCAATGTGAGGTTTGAAAGGGTCAAACATCTCAACTAAAGTAGTTGTATCCTCAGCACGTTCTATGGTTACTATGAGAGCTATAATTGAGAAAGCAGGGGAAAGCTAGGTCTCCCGCCATTTGGGTGCTTGTCCTAAAGAGACGTTGTATGTGGTTACCTGCCAATCAAGAAATGCGAGACAATTCATAAAGAGGAACTGCTATGATTAGCTTCTTATTGGTGTCTCCTCTTCTTCCAGGTAACCCCAGACACCTACATGTTCTGATTGGGACCTCAGTGGTCAAAATCCCTTTCACCATCCTCCTCTTCTTTCTCCTTCATCGCTGGTGCTCCGACAAAAAAAGTAAGTCTCACGAAGCAGAGGCCAGAGAGCTCAGGGCCATGTGGGGAAGCAGGATGGGAGCACGCGGATGTGTGTTCCTCACCAGCAGGATGGTCCCTGGCCCAAGACAGGAGCCACAGAGGCAGGACTTTCTAGAGAGAGCACCAGATTCCCTTCCCCTGCCTTCAGCTCACAGACCATTGCCTGATTCTGAACTGTATCCTCACGTCCCCTGCAGCCACTCACATCCAGGAGAAGGTTCCATGACAGGCAGAAAGTGGGAGATAGAATCAATGGGATGGGACCTCAGAGCTATTCATGGGATGGGTCCTTGAACTCAGAGAGATAGAATGTCTGAGTCTGCTGTTGGCAACTGAGGGACCTCAGGCACCTATGGCCTCCCCCTGTTTGTTGGTATCTGCTTATGAAATGAGGACCCAGAAGTGCCCTCCGAGCTCTTTTGTTGACTTCCGTCTTCTACAGATGCTGCTGTAATGGACCAAGAGCCTGCAGGGAACAGAACAGTGAACAGCGAGGTAGGTGCTCCTCGGCCCAGCCTCGTGGCTAGTCTTATTCCCAAAGAGTCCTGAAAAATGTGAGCACCCTCCCTCACTCAGCATTTCCCTCTCTCCAGGATTCTGATGAACAAGACCATCAGGAGGTGTCATACGCATAATTGGATCACTGTGTTTTCACACAGAGAAAAATCACTCGCCCTTCTGAGAGGCCCAAGACACCCCCAACAGATACCAGCATGTACATAGAACTTCCAAATGCTGAGCCCAGATCCAAAGTTGTCTTCTGTCCACGAGCACCACAGTCAGGCCTTGAGGGGATCTTCTAGGGAGACAACAGCCCTGTCTCAAAACCGGGTTGCCAGCTCCCATGTACCAGCAGCTGGAATCTGAAGGCATCAGTCTTCATCTTAGGGCATCGCTCTTCCTCACACCACGAATCTGAACATGCCTCTCTCTTGCTTACAAATGTCTAAGGTCCCCACTGCCTGCTGGAGAGAAAACACACTCCTTTGCTTAGCCCACAATTCTCCATTTCACTTGACCCCTGCCCACCTCTCCAACCTAACTGGCTTACTTCCTAGTCTACCTGAGGCTGCAATCACACTGAGGAACTCACAATTCCAAACATACAAGAGGCTGCCTCTTAACACAGCACTTAGACACGTGCTGTTCCACCTCCCTTCAGACTATCTTTCAGCCTTCTGCCAGCAGTAAAACTTATAAATTTTTTAAATAATTTCAATGTAGTTTTCCCGCCTTCAAATAAACATGTCTGCCCTCATGGTTTCGGTAACGAGACTCTTTTCTTGCCTAAGGCTTCCGGTGTTATCATTACCATGTCCACATAACCCCATCTGTTCTCCATTGGGTTCTCAGCCCTGGACTCTGAGCTTCTGGAAGCAGAATGGAGCCTGATTTGTCTCTGAGACTCCAATTTCCATCCAAAGATACAGCACATAGGAGGCTCCAAGGATCGTGAATCACATGAACAAGTGATATTCTTACTCTCTGCAGACCTGGAAAGCTGGCAGAGTCATTCCACGATGAAACATTTGTAGAGTCATAGGCCTTGTTAGCCTCATCTCCACGGGGACACATATCAACATATCATCTTTCATAATATAAATATACAGTCGGTCCTCCATATCTGTGGGGTTTACAGGTGTTTATTGAACCAACAATAAATCAAAAATGTTTTCAGAAAAAAATCCCCGAAGTTTCAAGAAGCAAAAAACTATGTTGAATCGACACAAATTGAGTGGCGTGTAGGCTGTGTCAGGAATTATAAGTAATCAAGAGATGATTTCATGTATACAGGAGGATGTGCATGGGTTCTATGCAATTACTATGCTATTTTTTTTTTTTGAGACAGTCTCACTCTCTCACCCAGGCTGGAGTGCAGTGGCATGATCTCAGCTCACTGCAACCTCCGCCTCCCAGGTTCAAGCGATTGTCTTCCCTCAGCCTCCCCAGTAGCCTCCCCTAGGATTACAGGCACGTGCCACCATGCACAGATAAATTTTTTTGTGTGTGTATTTTTAGTAGAGATGGGGTTTCAGAATGTTGGACCAGCTGGTCTTGAACTCCTGACCTCGTGATCTACCCAACTCAGCCTCCCAAAGTGCTGGGATTACAGGCGTGAGCCACGGTGCCCAGCTTCGCTATGCCATTTCATGCAAGGGGCTTGAGCATCTGCAGATTTTGGTATCTGAATGGGGATCCTGGAACCAATCACCCAGGAATAGTGAAGGACCACAGTATATAATTTTTATTTGTCAATCTTAAAAATAAAGCATAAAAAGTTTACAACAACAAGATAAAAAATAAGAAGTGTTTTTATAGTGTGAGGATAAGTTTAGATTTATTTTTTCCTACGTGTAACCCTATGGTCCTGTGTTATTTATTGAGAAAATATTCTATTCCACCTTAAACTACATGGCAGCCTTTGTCAACTATGAAGGGACTGTGTATCCACAGATGTATTTTAGACACAGTTTTCTGCCCAGTGGTTCTCTGTATCCCCTCTCATGAGGATGCTGCATTTCATATAAACTTATAGAACCCCTTAAAATTTGGTAACCTGAGTTCTCTGATTTGTTATTATAGGTTATTTAGTTTGCTTTTTTTTTTCTTTCTTGAGACAGACTCTTCCTCTGTCACCCAAGCTGGAGTTCAGTGGCTTGAGCTCAGCTCACTGCAGCCTCCGCCTCCCAGGTTCAAGCAATTCTCGTGCCTCAGGTTTAGTACTAGAAACTCATCAGGAAAATTAGAATGGCTTTTTGTCACAATTACTCTGATAATGTTAATAATACCTCTTAGATATTTTGCACATTACACATGAAGAAAAGTTTGAATCTCAGATAAAAACAAAAATACATCAAAAGTCTTTAATGTAAGCACAGAATTCAATCACCTCATGTGTGAGAGGTTGGATCTGAGACGTCTTTTGAGTCTGGTCATAGTGAAGGATGCAAGGTGGCAATTGTAGTCACAACAATTTCCAGGAAGCCATGTTCCGCTCTTGAGCGAGCACCCACTGGGCCTCATGCAAGGTAGAAAGAGCCTGCGTACGTCACCCTCCCATGATGTGGTCAACATGTAAACTGCATGGGCAGGGCGCCAAATAACATCCTGTGCGCTGCTGAGCTGAGCTGGGGCGCGGCCTCCTGTCTGCACCGGCAGCACCATGTCGCTCACTGTCGTCAGCATGGCGTGCGTTGGTGAGTCCTGGAAGGGAATAGAGGGAGGGAGAGTGGGGATGGAGATCTCGGCCTAGAGGTAAAGATATGGGCCTGGAGTGGAGATATGGGCCTGGAGTGGAGATATGGGCCTGGGTGTGGAGATATGGGCCTGGAGGTGTAAATATGGGCCTGGAGTGGAGATATGGGCCTGGAGGGGAGATATGGGCCTGGGTGTGGAGATATGGGCCTGGAGTGGAGATACGGGCCTGGAGTGGAGATATGGGCCTGGAGTGGAGATATGGGCCTGCAGGTGGAGATCTGGGCCTGGAGTGGAGATATGGGCCTGGAGTGGAGATATGGGTCTGATGTGGAGATATGGGCCTGGAGTGGAGATATGGGCCTGGAGTGGAGATATGGGCCTAGAGGGGAGATCTGGGCCTGGAGTGGAGATATGGGTCTGATGTGGAGATATGGGCCTGGAGTGGAGATATGGGTCTGATGTGGAGATATGGGCCTGGAGTGGAGATAGGGGCCTGGAGTGGAGATATGGGCCTGGAGTGGAGATCTGGGCCAGGAAGTGTTGATCTGGGCCTGGAGCCTGGGTCTCTCCACAGCTGAGAGCCCTGTTCTTGGCAGCAGGTAGCAGGGAGGCTAAGTTTACCTTCAGCCCAGCAAGGGCCTGGCTGCCAAGACACACAGTGCAGTGGGGGCAGCAGGGTGCCCTGGTTTGCCTGCAGTTGGATCGTCTATCATGATCTTTCTTTCCAGGGTTCTTCTTGCTGCAGGGGGCCTGGCCACTCATGGGTGAGTCCTTCCCCAAACCTTAGGGTGTCATCTCCCCACATAAGAGGATTTTTCTGAAACAGGAGGGAAGTCCTGTCGGGGAGTCTCTCATAAACTAGGAAGAGGGGACCCTTGGATACTCGGCCCACATTTCTGACCTCGCCCTCCCCGGCCTTTCTTTCCCTTTCCTGAGTCAAGCTCTGTGAAGACTGGGGTGAGACTGGGGTGCTCCAAGCTGGGGTGTGCAGGGAGGAAGTGGTGTCAGCAGCAGAGAAAGAGAGGGAAGCAGTGCTAGGAACAGCAGGTCCTCTGAGGACAAAGGTATAACTGACACCCTCCAGCGTTTCCGTGACGGTAGGGACTGCAGTGTGGCTGCGGTCTTTCTACCAGAAGAGGGGGGAAACCACAGCCATGGCCCTGACATTCCAAATCCTCTGAGGGGGCTCAGTTCATGAATTGGCTGATATTCCATTCACATAGGACATGCCCTCCATGCCGTGTCTACTTTGTGTTGTTTTATGTGAGTAATTTTGCAGTATTAAAATCTAGTAAGAGTCACTTATTCAGCACTTGCTCAAAGTTCTCAGCTGACACTTGTTGTAGGGAGACGCCATGTCTATGTGGGGTGGGTCCTTCCTGTAGCCCTGGGCACCCAGGTGTGGTAGGAGCCTTAGAAAGTGGAAATGGGAGAATCTTCTGAGCACAGGGAGGGAGGGGTGGCTCCACATCCTCCTCTCTAAGGCAGTGCCTCCTTCTCCCCCAGGTGGTCAGGACAAACCCTTCCTGTCTGCCCGGCCCAGCACTGTGGTGCCTCGAGGAGGACACGTGGCTCTTCAGTGTCACTATCGTCGTGGGTTTAACAATTTCATGCTGTACAAAGAAGACAGAAGCCACGTTCCCATCTTCCACGGCAGAATATTCCAGGAGAGCTTCATCATGGGCCCTGTGACCCCAGCACATGCAGGGACCTACAGATGTCGGGGTTCACGCCCACACTCCCTCACTGGGTGGTCGACACCCAGCAACCCCCTGGTGATCATGGTCACAGGTCAGAGGCTTTCTGTCTGGGCTTCTCACTGTCCCACCTCCTGAATCCCAGAGCTTCTGGTGGGGGTGTCCATCAGGGTCCCATCACCCAGGCCCCAACTGTATTTGGGGTCAAGGGGGATTGAATACAGGGGAAATGGGCGCTGTGGTGGGAAGAATCACTGTCGCCAATGATGGCTACATTGTAAACCCTGGAGCCTGTGACTATTTATGTTATAGGGCAGGGGACTGAAGGGGAAGGTGGAGCTCAGGTTGTTGATGAGTTGACCTTGAGATGGGGAGACAGCCTGGACTGTCAACACATCATCTTTCATACTATAAATATACAGTCGCTCCTCCATATCTGTGGGGTTTACAGGTGTTTATTGAACCAAATATAAATCAAAAATATTCAGAGAAAAAATCCACAAAGTTCCAAAAAGCAAAAATACTATATTGTGTGGACACAAGTGAGGTGGTGTGTAGGCTGTATCAGGAATTATAAGTAATCTAGAGATGATTTCATGTATACAGGAGGATGTGCATGGGTTATATGCAAATGCTGTGCCATTTCATGCAACAGGCTTGAGCATCTGCAGATTTTGGTGTCTGGTAGGGAGGGGGGTTTCCTGGAACCAATCACCCATGAATAGTGAAGGACTACTGTATATAATTTTCATTCATCAATTTTATAAATAAATCATCAAAATGTATGATAATAAGATAAAAAATTAGCAGTGTTTTTATGGTGTGAAAATAAGCTTAGATTTATTTTTTCCTGCTTGTAACCCTCTGGTCCAATGTTATTTACTGAGAAGACATTCTATTCCACCTTAATCCGCATGGCAGCCTCTGTCAACTATAAAAGGACTGTGTGTACACAGATGTATTTTACACACTCTTTTCTGCTCAGTGGCTCTCTGTGTCCACTCTCATGAGGATGCTGCACTTTATGTGGCCTTATAGAACCCCTTAAAATTTGGCAGCCTGAATCCTCTAATTTCTCCTTCCTCTTTAAGATTGCCATTATTATTATTATTGGCTATTTGCTTTTCCATGTAAATTTGTAATCATTTTTCTCATTTCCACCAAAAACAATGCTTGTAATTTTGTTGTGACTCCCTTACATCTACAGGTAAGTTCTGTCCTATAGAAACATAATGCAAACCACATGCATTCTTTCAAACTTGCTAGTATCCAAATTAAAAAGCTAACAAGAAACAGATAAAATTAATTTAAGTTAACCCAATGGACCCAAAATATTATTAACCCAACAGACCCAAAATATTAACCTAATAGATCCAAAATATTATTTTATTATACAAGTAGACTCAAAATATTATCATTTCAACATGTAATCATGTGTCATCTTGGAAAACATCAGATCCCTGTCTAGGTGGGCAAAGATTTTTCTTCGTAATATCTCATTTCCACATTTCCACTTGGCACAGAAACTGCCCCCAAGGCTCAGGATACTAAGATGCAGTAGGAATGGGTAGATGTATCTGGAGGAAAGTGACTGAATGAAATTGAGACATCAGAGTCTGGGGAACTCACTAGAACTACAGGGACAGTGTGGGGGAGGGAATTGGGAGATGTTGATCAAAGGATACAAACTATCAGGTATTCAGGAGGAATGGGTCTGAAGATCTCTTGTACAGCTTTGCCACTATGGTTGACAATACTGTACTCTATACTTGAAATTTACCAGGAAAGTAGATTTTTTTTTTTAAATATGGAACACTTCACGAATTTGCGTGTCATTCTTGCGCAGGGGCCATGCTAGTTTTCTCTGTATCGTTCCAATTTTAGTATATGTGCTGCCGAGGCAAGCATGGGAGAGTAGATTTTTTTTTTTTTTTTTTTTTTTGAGCTGGAGTCTTGCTCTGTCACCCAGGCTGGAGTGCAGTGGCGCGATCTCGGCTCACCGCAAGCTCCGCCTCCTGGGTTCACGCCATTCTCCTGCCTCAGCCTCCCGAGTAGCTGGGACTACAGGCGCCCGCCACCACGCCCTGCTAATTTTTTGTATTTTTAGTAGAGACGGGGTTTCACTGTGTTAGCCAGGATGGTCTCGATCTCCTGACCTCGTGATCCGCCTGCCTCGGCCTCCCAAAGTACTGGGATTACAGGCATGAGCCACCACGCCCGGCTGGGAGAGTAGATCTTAAGGGTCCTCACCACAAAAAAAAAAAAAAGAAAGAAAGAAAAAGAAACCATAGGCCGGGCGCGGTGGCTCACGCCTGTAATCCCAGCACTTTGGGAGGCCAAGACGGGCAGATCACTTGAGGTCAGGAGTTCAAGACCAGCATGGCCAACATGGTGAAACCCTGTCTCTACTAAAAATGCAAACATTAGCCAGGCGTGGTGACACAAGCCTGTAATCCCAGCTACTCAGGAGGCTGAGGCACGAGAATTGCTGGAACCTGGGAGCGGAGGTTGCAGTGAGCCAAGATGGCACCACTGCACTCTAGCCTGGGGGACAGAGTAAGACTTCCTCTCAAAAAAAAAAAAAAAAAAAACAATAACCCTGCGAGATGATGGATATAACTAGCTTGACTATGATGATCATGTCACCATGTATACATACATCAAAACATCAAGTGTAATACACCTTAAATATATACAATTTCCATTTGTCAATCATATCTCAATAAAGCTAAAAGAAACCTCTAAGTTTCAACTTTATTTTCAGAAAGCTGTGCCATGCTTACCTCAGTGCCTAAGTATACTCTAATTCATGGAAATGGCCTTTAAAACTGCAGAGAGTGGCTGGGTGCAGTGGCTCACGCCTATAATCCCAGCACTTTGGGAGGCGGAGGTGGGCAGATCACGAGGTCAGGAGTTCGAGATCAGCCTGGCCAACATGGTGAAACTCTGTCTCTACTAAAAATACAAAAAATAGCTGGGCATGGTGGCAGGTGCCTGTAAATCTGAGATACTCAGGAGGCTGAGACAGGAGAATCGTTTGAACTGGGGAGGCAGAGGTTGCAGTGAGCCGAGATCCTGCCATTGCACTCCAGCCTGGGCGACAGGGTGAGACTCCATCTCAAAAAAAAAAAAAATACTGCAGAGAGTTAAGGCCCTCACTGGACACTCTCCGGTACCTCTGAGGTCAGTGGATAGAGAAGCAGCTCCCCTTCTTCTTCCTCGAAACAAAGGCCTCCTTCCTTCTTAGGTGTTTGAGACAAATTCTCCACACAGGTGCAGCTGAGTGCTGTAAAGTCCCACTGAGAGTTGAAGGTCCCCACTGCCAGTCACAGTTCGGTCCCACTGAGGGTTGAAGGTCCCCACTGCCAGTCACAGTTTGGTCCCATTGAGGGTTGAGAGTCTCCACTGCCAGTCACAGTTTGGTCCCATTGAGGGTTGAGAGTCTCCACTGCCAGTCAGTTTGGGCTTATTAGGGTTTATGCTGTGCACGGAGAATGGAACCTACCAATCAACTCTTAGTGACCAGTTAGACAGATTCAAGGCAAATTTCCCTGCTGGGAAATCCCAAATCCCAAAATATGCAGAGACCAATAGATGCCTCAATTCTTCCGTGTCTCCGTCTAAATCCTTGGGTCACTGTGACTCCTGTAGTTATGTGGCTTGTAATTCCTTGGGCCGTAGAATGGCTATGATAGGCCCTGTGCTAAGGGGACTGGTGACAGTTGAGACAGGAACATGGAAGCTATAGTAGTCAGGGTTCTCCAGAAAAAAAAATAATCAACACTAATAATGATAGATATATAGATAATGATTGATAGACAAATAATGATAGATATATAATGATATCACAAATAATGATAGACATATAGTTGGATAATGACAGATATATAATGATTGATACACAGATAGGGTATTTATATATTGGCTTATGCAACTATGTAGACTGACAGGTCCCATGATCTGCCATCTGCAAGCTGGAGACCCAGGGGAGTCCACGTGTAGTTCCAGTCTACGTGCAAAAGTCTGAGAACCAGTAGAGTTAGTGGTATACGTAACAGTCCAAAAGCTAGCAGGCTCATGCCGGGCATGATGGCTCACGCCTGTAATCCCAACACTTTGGGAGACCAAGGCAGGCAGATCACCTGAGGTCAGAGTTCAAGACCAGCCCGGCCAACATGGTGAAACCCCATCTTTACTAAAAATACAAAAATTAGCCGGGCATAGTGGCATTCGCTTGTAATCCCAGCTACTCAGAGGCTGAGGTACGAGAATTGCTTGAACCCAAGAGGTGAAGGTTGCAGTGAGCCGAGATCATGCCACAGCACTCCAGCCTGGGTGACAGAGTGAGACTCTATCTCAAAAAAACAAACAAACAAAAAAAGCTGGCAGGCTTAACATCTAAAGAGTCAATGTTTTAGTGAGAGTTCAAGAGCCAGAAAAGACTGATGTCCAAGCAAAAGGAACTTCATCTTACATTACCAGTTCAATGTTTTGTTCTATTCAGGTCCCACCTGATTGAATGAGGCCGACTCACATTAGGGAGAGCAATCTGCTTTATAAATTACACTAATTCCATTGATAATCTCATTCAGCAACACCCCCACAGACACACACAGAATAATGTTTAACCAAATATCTCAGCACCCCATGGCTACGTTACCATTCCTGTTCCACAAAAGGAGGAAACAAAAGAACAAAACCACACCAAATGTTGTGGTAAGTTGACAAAATCTGTTCCAGCCCATTAGTAAATATTGGCCACTGAAGTTCCTGAAATTCAACAATTAGTAAGTATCTCTCTCCCAATAGAAAGCCACGTCATTTGTAAACCATAACAATAGCTTTTGTTTTTTTGAGACACAGTCTCGCTCTGTGTTGCCCAGGCTGGAGTGCAGTGATCTTGGCTCACTGCAACCTCTGCCTCCTGGGTTCAAGTGGCTCTCCTGCCTCAGCCTTCCGAGTAGCTGGAATTACAGGCACCCGCCACCACACCCAAGTAATTTTTTATATTTTTAGTAGAGACTGGGTTTCACCACATTGACCAGGCTGGTCTTAAATTCCTGAACTCAAGTGATTCACCTGCCTTGGCCTCCCAAAGTGCTGGGATTACAGGCATGAGCTACTGCACCCAGCCAACAATAGTATTTTTAATTAGGTCATCCTGCCTTTACAATCTCTGCATTTTAAATACTCAACTAAGAGTACAGCCATTATTTGTCTTTCACCCAAAGTCCCATTCAAGTGAGAACAAAGGAATGAATAAATAAGGCATAAGTAACAAAACAACAAAAAAAGAAAATTAGAATGCGGTCAATTTCATGCAATCATCAACACCAAATTTCCAGAACGTAGTATTTCCAAATTTCCCGAACGTAAATATGTATGTGGAAATTAACAAAATGTGGCAAAACAAAAGGTCACTTAAATTTGCACAAATGAAACAGTCAACATGGAAGCTGATCGGCTTTCTGAAATATGGGACAAGCTCAGGACTTCAAAATACTTCGGCGTTGGAAGGGCTAAGTTATGATGTATTAAAATGAAAATAAAGTGGGGCGCGGTGGCTCATGCCTGTAATCCCAGCACTTTGGGGGACCGAAGTGGGTGGATCACGAGGTCAGGAGATCGAGACCATCCTGGCTAACACGGTGAAACCCCGTTTCTACTGAAAATACAAAAAAAATTAGCCGGGCGTGGTGGCGGGTGCCTGTAGTCCCAGCTACTCGGGAGGCTGAGGCAGGAGAATAGCATGAACCCGGGAAGTGGAGCTTGCAGTGAGCTGAGATCACGCCACTGCACTCCAGCCTGGGCGACAGAGCAAGACTCCGTCTCAAAAAAAAAAAAAGAATAAATAAAATAAAATAAAATAGTAGAAGGTTTAATTAGGAATATTTCACTCTCCATACCTGAAGAATTCGTGATAGCCAGGAGTCTACAATCAAAATAACATAAATAATAAGATAAAAATAAAATTAATTTGAAGCCATAAAAAAAGAATGAGTTCATATGTTTTGTGGAAACATGGATGGAGCTGGAGGCCATTATCCTTAGCAAACTATACAAGAACAGAACACCAAATACAGCAGGTTCTCACTTATAAGTGGAAGCTAAATAATAGAACTCATGAACACAAAAAAGGGAAAAACAGACAATGGGGTCTCCTTTAGGGTGGAGGGTGGGAGGCGGGAAAGGAGCAGGAAAAGTAACTATTAGGTACCAAGCTTATTACCTAGGTGATGAAATAATCTGTACAACAAACCCCCATGACACAAGTTTACCTGTATAACAAACCTTCCCATGTACCCTTGAACCTAAAATAAAAGTTAAAAAAATACTCAATGAGCAACAATGTACATTATTTGAGGATAATTATATTAAAAGCCCAGACTTCACCACTACACAAAATATCCACGTAATAAAATTTCACTTGCGCTCCTTAAATTTATACAAATAAACAAAAAAGTATAATAAAATAGTAGATTCTTTCTTTAGAGATGACAAATAGTGCCAGAGAAAATGCCTCCACACTCTGGCATTGAGATCATCTCCAGGATAAGGGTATACTGCATGCCTGGTCAAGTCCAAGTAAATATACTCAGACCATGAATCTCAGAGATGAAACATAGGTTCAGAACAGACAAAGCCACAGAGCTTTTGACTAATGGCCCAGTGAAGGCAATGTCTGCCTGTATGGTATCCACCACCTTATATTCTGTCCCAAGCCCGTCTATTTGGATGTAGCATCTGGTTCAAAGATGAATTTGAACACCATTAGACACTGGCTTAATGAAAATTCACTTCTCATTCGTTTCTCATCTGAAACATAAATAGAAATACAGGTCTTAGGCAGGAGGATTTCTTGATGCCAGAAGTTAGAGACTACCCTGGCCAACATAGAAAGACCCCATCTCTATTTAAAAAAATATACATATATATGTCTTCTCTTGGGCTCCACCCAAGAGCAACCTGGAACTAAGTTATTCGGCAACGAACTGTTCCACTTTGCTGTGAGGCAATAGATGTGGAAATTCCCTGACGAGGGGCTCTGTCCTCATACTTCCTGCGGAGCTTATTGTCGTAAGAATATCTGTCATCCTGCTAATGTGCATTGAAAGGAGAGCAACGGGGCTGAGGCCGTGTCAGCACGATGGACCCCAAACAGACCACCCTCCTGTGTCTTGGTGAGTTTCAGAGTAAAAGTGGGTTAGAGGGGAAGATAGAGAAATCCCAAAATAATCAGGGTGTCTCTTAACAGTGTGACTAGGAGATTTTAGTGGCTGCCAAGGAGATTCTGATCTCCTTAGTGGAAAGGCCGTCTTTGTCAATGTATCTATAACTTTGTCTCTACCCAAGCCCAAGCTAGCTTGTGGGGCTCAAGGTTTAATATTTGTATTAAACCTATAGTGTGTTATCTGGGATTCATGATGGTCCCAAGGTTCTTATCAAGGAGAGACTTAGAGGCTGGAATCTGAAAGGTAAAAATAAAGAATGAACCTCAAAACTGTGATTGTTGTGGAAGGAAAACATATGATAGAACCCCATATAGAAATATGGTTACTAGTATTTTGTTGAAGATTTTTGCATTTATGTTCAACAAAGATATTATCCAGAAGTTTTCTGTTTTTGTTGTATCTCTGCCACATTTTGTTATCAGGATAATGTTGGCCTCATAGAATGAGTTGGGGAGGAGTCCCTCCTCCAGGATTTTTTTCAATAGTTTCAGTAGGAATAATACTAGCTCTTCTTGGCCGGGCGCAGTGGCTCACACCTGCAATCCCAGCACTTTGGGAGGCCAAGGCAGGCGGATCACAAGGTCAGGAGATCAAAACCATCCTGGCCAACATGGTGAAACCCTGTCTCTACTAAAAATACAAAAAAATTAGCCAGGCGTGGTGGCGGGCGCCTGTAGTCCCAGCTACTCGTGCGGCTGAGGCAGGAGAATGGCATGAACCTGGGAGGCAGAGCTTGCAGTGAGCCAAGATCATGCCACTGCACTCCAGCTTGGGCGACACAGCGAGACTCTGTGTCAAAAAAAAAAAAAAATGCCAGCTCTTCTTTATATATCTGGTGGGATTGAGCTGTGAATCCATCTGGTACTGGTCTTTTTCTGGTCTGTCATTACAGAGGGTGATTTGTCGTAAAGGTTGGAAATGGAAGCTTGATTTTTCATAAATCTCTCTCTTCCAGTGCTCTGTCTGGGCCAGAGGATTCAGGCACAGGAAGGTAAGTGTCCTGTAAATCTCTCCCAGCCCCTTTAGACCCTCTTGGGAGCTCTAGGATAAAGAAATTGAGGAATAGCCTGAAGCACCATTCTTATTTTAGTCCCCATTCTAGTTGTTTCTGCTGTGCTTCTCTTGCATAATTTCTATCTCACTTTGTTATCTCCAAACCCTTCAGACTCATTAATGCTCAGGCCTGGATTTATAGTTAGTCCTTGCCTGTGTTAGACTGTCCATGAAGGATCTGTAATTTACTGAATGCTCAAACTGCAAGAATGAGGAAGTCAGGAGTCATCTGCCCAATATCCTTCCTTATGCTGATTCTATTTTGTTTTAGCAACCCACTTCCTCCCGTCACTTCATTTAAAAGGATGCTGCCATAGTCTAACCCTACTGAACACTCTAGCATTCTGTAGTACTACTGCAGTACTAAGCATGAGGCAGTCTTAGTGTACTACTGAATATTCTGCCACCCCAACTACTACTGCCTTAGCCTCCTAATGGGTGTGAGCCCCACGTCCATCCATGTCTTCTCTCTTCCAGCTCCTTCTAAAGCCTGAATTATTTGTGTGTTGAACAATACTCATTCTTCCTATCCATGAGCATGGAATGTTTTTCCATTTGTTTGTGTCATCTATGATTTCTTTGACCAGTGTTTTGTAGTTCTCCTTGCAGAGATCTTTCACCTCCCTGGTTAGCTGTATTCCCAGGTATTTTATTCTTTTTGCAGTAATTGTGAATGGATTCTATTCTTGATTTGGCTCTCAGCTTAGATGTTTTTGGTGTATAGGAATGCTACTGATTTTTATATATTGATTTTGTATCCTGGAACTTTGCTAAAGTTGTTTATCAGATTAAGAAGTGTTTGGGCAGAGACTGTGGTTTTCTAGGTATAGAATCATATCACCTGCAAACAGGGATAGTTTGACTTCCTTTCTTCCTATTTGGATGCCTTTTATTTCTCTCTTGCCTGATTGCTCTAGCTAGGACCTCCAGTACTATGTTGAACAGAAGTAGTGAGAGACGGCATCCATGTCTTTTGCCAGTTTTCAAGGGGAATACTTCCAGCTTTTGCCCATTCAATATGATGTTGACTGTGAGTTTGTCATACATCATTCTTATTATTTTGAAATATGTTTCTTCAATGCCTAGTTTGTCGAGGTTTTTTAGCATAAAGGGATGTTGAATTTTATCAAAAGCTCTATTGAGAGGATTATGTGTGTGGGGAGGGTTGTTCTATTTATGTGATGAATCATATTTAAGATTTGTGTATATTGGCCGGGCACTGTGGCTCATGCCTGTAATCCCAGCACTTTGGGAAGCCAAGGCTTGTGGATCATGAGGTCAGGAGATCGACACCATCCTGGCTAACACGGTGAAACCTCGTCTATACTAAAAAATACAAAAAAATTAGCCAGGCATGGTGGCGGGCGCCTGTAGTCCCAGTTGCTCGGGAGGCTCAGGCAGGAGAATGGCATGAATCCAGGAGGCGGAGCTTGCAGTGAGCCAAGTTCACGCCACTACACTCCAGCCTGGGCAACAGAGCGAGACTCCTATATCGAATCAACCTTGCATCCCAGAAATAAAGCCTACCTGATGGTGGTGGATTAGCTTTCTGATGTGCTGCTGGATAGTTTGCTAGTATTTTGTTGAGGATTTTTGCATTTATGTTCAACAAGGATATTGTCCTGAAGTTTTCTGGTTTTGTTGTGTCTCTGCCATGTTTTTGCATCAAGATGATGCTGGTCTCATAGAATGAGCTGGGGAGGCATTCCTCCTCCTGAATATTTTTGGAACGTTTCAGTAGGTATAGTACCAGCTCTTCTTTATATATCAGATGGGATTCAGCTGTGAGTCTGTCTGGTACTGGGCTTTTTCTGGTCTGTAGGATTTTTATTACTGATTCAATTTTGGAGCTCATTATTGGTCTGTTCATGTATTCAATTTATTCTTGGTTTGATCTCAGGAGGGTGTATGTGTCCAGGAATTTCTCCATTTATTCTGGATTTTCTAGTTTGTGTGCATAGAGGTGTTCATAATATTCTCTGATGATTGTACTTCTGTGGGGTGAGTGGTAATATACCCTTTGTTGTTTCTAA